>NC_000002.12:6373636-6676666 GCF_000001405.40 Homo sapiens
TTTATTTATAAATTACCCAGTTTCCTGTATTTCTTTATAGCAATGCAAGAACTGCCTAATGCATATATGGAAATAAGACCTGCATCATTTTAAAGCAATGTTCCAACATTGCAATTAAAAGTGATTCACAAGATGTTATGAGCTGAATGTTTGTGCCGACCCCCCCAAATACATACGTTGCAATCTAAACCCCCAATATAATAGTATTAGGAGGTGAGGCCTTTAGGCTGTGATTAGGTCATGAGGATGGAGCTCATGAATAAAATTAGTGCCCTTCTAAGAAGAAACAGAAGAACGATGATTTTTCTCTCAACCATGCGAGGGCATAATGAGAGGACACCCATCTGCAAACCAGGAGCAGAGCCCTCGCCAGACACCAGATCTGCCAGTAGCTTAATCTAGGATCTCCAGCCCATTACTGCTTGGTTGGAAGTAGTGATGAAGTGTCTTCTGTGCATTCCTTTTAAATTGATGCCTCCCATGTTTCTGGTAAAATACTAAAAAATAATTTTGAGTTTTTAGAGGACACAAAGAATTCAAGCTGGGTGCAGTGGTTGATGCCTGTAATCACAGCACTTTGGGAGGCCGAGGTGGGTGGATCACCTCAGGTCAGGAGTTCAAGACCAGCCTGGCCAACATGGTGAAACCCTGTCTCCACTAAAAATACAAAAATTAGCCAGGTGTGGTGGTGCATGCCTGTAATCCCAGCTACTTGGGAGGCTGAGGCAGGAGAATCCCTTGAACCCAGGAGGTGGAGGTTGCAGTCAGGCGAGATCGCACCAGTGCACTCTAGCCTGGGTGACAGAGCCAGACTTCATCTCAAAAAAAAAAAAAAAAAGAATTCACATTAAAAAGGCCAGAACTAGATAAGACACCTAGGACACAAATTTTAAGGAGACACTCTTTCTTAGTTTCCTGCAAGTGTTGACCTTGTATTTGTAGTACCTCCTTAAACGATTTGCCCTGAATGCCTCTCTGCCTTCACCTTAGTCCCTGTTCAGCTTGTCCCAATATGAAATAAAACAGACAATGGGCACTCCAAATTATGGAAATATCAAAGGAGAAAGGGAAATATCAGCTTGGGGAGTTATTAAACCTTTTGGACTAAATGTATGCATCTTCTAGGGGCTTTGGAGATAATATTTTAGAATCTATAATATAGTTAGGTTGCTTATGAGTAAAATAAATGGCCTGAGGGGGAAAGTTTTTTGTAATTCAAAAAGTGAACTGCCATCAGCTGATGATTAGTTTTAACCCTCTTGATGAGAATGCATTATTCACTTAAGATATTAAGGTGGTGAAAGGGAGCAGGCAGAGAGCCACTCATATTCAGAACTTTTAATATAAAGCTATAAAATGATATTAAAAAATGAAAAAAATTCCCTTGAAAGACATAATGAGACCAGAATTACTCAGTAAAAAATTAGATAACTTGAATAATCTTAATTCTACTAAGTAAGTGGAATTTGTAGTAAAAACCTTCCACAAAAGAAAATTCAAAACATAAATATATTCACTAGCAAATTCTACAAAAATTCTCCTTAACAATTTATAGTAATTCTACACAAATTCTTTCAAAATATGAGTAAAAGACCACTTCCCAACTTATTTGATGAAGCTAGCATTAAACTAACATTGAAACCAGAAAAAGATATCAGAAGAAAAAAAGATACATAGCATAAAATCACTTACATATATGTGTGAGATATATATATGACTGATATATATATGATATATATATACATATGACAGATATATATAAACACAAATGTCCTTACAGAATACTAACAAATTGAATCCACCAAAATAGAATGCATCATGATCAAGTAGAGATTAGTCTGAGAATGCAAGGCTGGTTCAATATTTAAAAATAAAATCAATCTGTACAATTCATCATGAAAAAACTAAAAAGTGTAAAAAAAAGAAATTATATTGATACATGAAGAAACAGTCTTTGATAAAATTCAAAATGCATTCATGATTCTTTCAAAAGTCAGCAAATTAGATATAGAAATAAACTTCCTCAACCAAATATAAGACATCATCAAAAAAATCATGCTACTACTATTAAACATTATACTAGAGATCTTAGCAAGTTCAATAAACACAATACAGAAAAAAGACAAGAAAACTGAAAATAAATAAAACATTATTATTATTATTATTATTATTTTTTGAGACAAGGTCTCGCTCAGGCTGGAGTGCAGTAGCACAATCTCTACTTGCTGCAGCCTCGGTTTCCTGGGCTCAAGTAATCCTCCCACCTCAGCCTTCCAAGTAGCTGGGACTACAGGTGCCTGCACCACCATGCCTAGCTAATTTTTGTATTTTCTGTAGGGACACATTTTCGCCATATTGCCCAGGCTGGTCTCAAACTCCTGAGCTCAAGGGATCTGCCGCCTTGGCCTCCCAAAGTGTTGGAATTACAGGCATGAGACACTGTGCCCAGCCATTTTCTTTTTCTTTTTTTTTTTTTTTTTTTTTTTGTAGATGACATGAATTGGTTACAAAGAGAATCCAAAAGAATCTTTAAACAGAATTAATACTAAGTTTGGAAAGGCATGAGAGTACAATGCCAGTATAGAAAAACTAATGGTATCTAAATATGTTAGCCACAAAAAATGAAAATTGATTTGAAAAATGGTATCATTTACAATAGTACAATAAGCTTGAGGTAGTTACAAAACTTTAAAAATTTATGCAAAATCTGTATGCTAAAATTTTGTTTCAAATATTGATGTAATAAATAATGTACAATCTAATTAAATGGAAATATATACTTTGTCATAGAATGGAAGATTCGATGTTGTCAACTCTCTCAATTTGTCTATAGATTCAACACAATTCCAATCAATTTATATAGAAAGACAAAGTAACTAGAACCCATAATACAAATTGAAAAAGAAAAAACAAAGTTAGGAGGACTCACATTGATGCCCAGATTTGATGTAAAGCTACACCACTCAAGACTGACATTACAGAAAGAGTGGACATCTAGATCAATGGACATGAATAGAATCCACATATATAATCATGCGTATATGCCCAGTTGATTTTTATCTAAGGTGCAAAGGCAATTCAGTGGAGATGGGATAGTCTTTACAAATGATGCTGGAACAATCAGATTTCTATATGTAATACAAGAAACCACAATCAATATCTTGCACTCTACACAAAAATTAACTCTATAAGGATCATAGACCTAAATACAAAACTGAAAATTACAAAATTTCTAGTTGAGAACATAGGAGGAAATCTTATGATTTGAACTTAGATTAAATTCAAAAAAATCATCTATTAAAGAAAAAATGATAAATTGAATCTCATCAAAAGAAAGAACATCTACTCTTTAAAATATAGTATTGAAAGAAAGATAAGGCAGCTATACATTGGAAAAATATTTTTAAATCACACATTTTGCGAAAGACTTGCATCCACAATATACAAAGAATATTCAAGGGATGGTTTAACATCCGCAAATCAATAAATGTGATACACCATGTAAATGGAATTAAAAACAAAAATCACATAATCATCTCAATAGACACAGAAAAAGCATTTGACAAAATCCAGCATCACTTTATGATTAAAAGCCTCAGCAAAATTGGCATACAAGGAACATACCTCAATGTAGAAAAGCCATCCATGATAAATACACAGCCAACACAATACTGACCAGGGAAAGTTGAAAGCATTCCCTCTGAGAACTGGAACAATACAGGGATACCCACTCTCACCACTTCTATTCAACATAGTACTGGAAGTCCTAGCCAGAGCAATCAGACAAAAGAAAGAAATAAAGGGCATCCAAATTGGTAAAGAGGAAGTCAAACTGTTGCTGTTTGCTGATGATAAGTTTGTATACCTAGCAAATCCTAAAGACTCTTCCAGAAAGCTCCTAGAACTGATAAAATAATTCAGCAAAACTTCTGGATACAAAGTTAATGAACACAAATCAGTAGCTCTCCTATACACCAACAGTGACCAAGCTGAGAATCAAATAAAGAACTTAACCCCTTTTACAATAGCTGCCAAAATATATATAGAATTAGAAATATACCTAACCAAGGATGTGAAAAACCTTTGTGAGGAAAACTACAAAACACTACTGAAAGAAATCATAGACAACACAAACAAATGAAAACACATCCATGCTCATGGATATGAGAAAGTGAACATACTGCCAAAAGCAATGTACACATTCAATGCAATTTTCATCAAAATACCACTATGATGCCTCACAGAACCAGAAAAAAACAATCCTAAAATTCATATGGAATCAAAAAAAGAGCTCACATAGCAAAAGCAAGATGAAACAAATCTGGAGGCATCACATTACCTGATTTTAAACTATGCTATAAGGCTATGGTCCTCAAAACAGCATGGTACTGGTGTAAAAATAGGCACATAGACCAATGAAACAGAATAGAGAACCCAGAAATAAACCTAAACACTTACAGCCAACTGATTTTTGACAAAGCAAACAAAAACATAAAGTGGGGAAAGGATATCCTATTCAACAAATGGTGCTGGCATAACCAGCAAGTCAGATGTAGGAGAGTGAAACTGGATCCTCATCTCTCACTTTATACAAAACTCAACTCAAGATGGATCAAAGACTTAAATCCAAGACCTGAAACCATAAAAATTCTAGAAGATAACATCAGAAAAATCCTTCTAGACATTGGCTTAGGCAAAGATTTCATGACCAAGGACCCAAAAGCAAATGCAATGAAAACAAAGATAAATAGGTGAGGCTTAATTAAACTAAAGAGATTTTGCATGGCAAAAGAAACAGCAGAATAAACAGACAATCCACAGGGTGGGAGAAAATATTCACAATCTGTACATCTGACAAAGGATTAATATCCAGAACCTACAAGCAACTCAAACAAATTAGCAAGAAAAAAAAACAAACGATGCCATCAAAAAGTGGGCTAAGGACATGAATAGACAATTCTCAAAAGGAGATATTCAAATGGCCAACAAACATGTAAAAAATGCTCAATATCACTAATTATCAGGAAGATACAAATCAAAACTACCATGTAATACCACATTACTCCTGCAAGAATAGCCATTATCAAAAAATCAAAAAATAATAGATGTTGGCATGGATTTGGTGAATAGGGAACATTTCTACACTCCTGGTGGGAATGTAAACTAGTACAACCACCGTGGAAAACAGTGTGGAGATTCCTTAAAAAACCAAAAGTAGAACTACCGTTTGACCCAGCAATCCCACTACTGGGCATCTACCCAGAGGAAAAGAAGACATCATACGAAAAAGATACTTGCACATGCATGTTTATAGAAGCACAATTCACAATTGCAAAAATGTGGAAGGAGCACAAATGCCCATCGATCAACAAGTAGATAAAGAAAATGTGGTATATATACAATGGAATACAACTCAGGCATTAATAGGAATGAATTAAGGGCATTCACAGCAACCTGGATGGGATTGGAGACTCAGTGAAGTAACTCAAGAATGGAAAACCAAACATTGTATGTTCTCACTCATAAGTGGGAACTAAGCTATGAGAATGTGAAGGTATAAGAATGATACAATGGTCTTTGGGGACTCCAAGGGAAAGGGTGGGAAGGGGGTGAGGTTTAAAAGACTACAAATCGGTTTCAGTGTATACTGCTCAGGTGATGAGTGCACCAAAATCTCACAAATCAACACTAAATAACTTGCTCATGTAAACAAATACCACCTGTTCCCCAGAAACCCATGAAAATATTTTTTTTTAAAAAAAGAGAAAACAAACTAATAAATGCATAAAAGTTTTGAACAGACTTCACAATATAAGATACATGGATGAAAAATAAACACATGTAAAGATGTTCAACGCAATTAGTCATTAGGGAAATGCAAATTGAAATCAAAGTGAGATGCTACTATACACATAATAGAATGATTAAAATTTTAAAATGATGGGCAGTTCCAAGTACTGACAAGAATGTGGAGTAATTGGAATTCACATAGATTGCTAATAGGAACATCTTTTAGCCTCTTGAGTAGAACTTGGCTGTTTCTTATAACGTTCAATATATTGTATTTATCATATGGCCTAGCAATCTTACTCATCAGTATTTGCCTGCCTGAAATGATAACCTATTATTACATAAAAACCTGTACATGCATAGTGATTATATTAATAATTGCCAAAACTGTAAAGATCCAAATGTACCTCAACTGAAGAATTGATCAACAAACTGTGGAGTACCCATACCATGGTATACTATTCAACGATAAAAAGAAACGAGCTGTTCATACACTCAACAGCCTGGATGAATCTCAAATGCATTTTATACTAATTACTGGGTTTTTTTTAAATAACAAGACAAAGAATTCAGAAGTAGCTTGAGGTTTTTGTTAGTTTGTTTTGAATGTCTGACAACATGAGATAGATTTCTATTAAAATATGAAATGGGAAGAATAGGTCTTCATGCTTCAGAATTCTATTTTTATGTATCTTTAATTGTCGAAGTTACTCAAATCATCGTGCTTCCGCTTATAGAATTACCTGCCAATATACAAGGGTTTAGGAAATAATCTATCAGTTGGCCCTTCCAATAAATAATATTTATTTCTGCAGGAGAGCTCACCTGCATTAGCAGTTGGAGGTTTGTTCTTTGGAAGACAGTGGAGTAGGTTTCTGTAAGAAGTTAATAGTTAGATCACTACTTCCTATTACGCTCTCAGTAGCTGAACACTGTAGTTGCTTCCAGTTGTATCACAGGTTGGAAATTATTTACAGAAACAAATGCATTGCCTCTCCAAACCTAAATCAGTGATGATAAGGAACTATGAAGAAGGGAGCCCTGTTTATAAGAGACACAATTTTATCTTTAATTGAAAAACTTATTCCTTTCAACTTTGTTTCAAATATAACTAAACCAAGATAGTAACAATGTAGGAAATGTAAGACAGAGATAGGAATTCTTCACAGAATGATTTATACATTCTACATTCCCTTTTGTTTTCACCCAATATGGTGAAATGAAAGAAAGAGAGAGTCATTTGAAACAACAGTGATGGCAATTATGGGTCAAGTTCAAAACAAAAAAACTATTCAAATTTGCAAACGCTAACATTTTTGGGTTACTCAACCATCCCATATATAAAATTTTAAACGCATGTGTCTTTTAGGAAAGAAAGCAATATTTATGGAAAGAAGTGAACATTATTATGTTGTGATTTACAATGGAAAAAATAATTTATTAATTAATAAATTCAGTTAATAAAACATTTGTTTTCCTTTTTGTCTCCACTGATGAGACTAGGAAGAAGGAACATCATGTAAAGAAGAAATTACAAGTTTTGTCATATATACATTTAGAAATTATTTTTAAAGTGTTTTGATTATGTAAAATATAAACAATACAGGTAGCATTTTCTTTACTGAGACAATCTTTCATTTAAATGGTAATTTATATCTCAAGCATTCACTGTATTTTCTTAACCATTTACCTATCTGAACTTTATCAAACCTCTGAAACTTTGATCCAGTTGTATCTTCTCATATTTATGCTATTATTCATTTTTAGTTATAGGTAATAAAAAATTGACTAATTAGATTCACAGAATGGCAAAACTGTAGGAATCTTGGAGATCGATAACAACTCCAGTATTTTTCACGAGTGTAGAAACAGTTACCCAGTGGGGAGTTTCAGTTATGTTTTATTTGAATGGATGTACTTAATCTTGCTACTACTCCTCTAAACCAGAGACACTCAAAATCACAATAATTTTGTTAGCTGTATAATTAGTTGAACACCTCTGAGACAAAGTCATCGTTGGACCAGAGATTCAGTTTACTTTTCTTTTTGGCAAGTAAGGAGGATTATTGTGAAGGAGAAGCAGCAAATGATCACGTGTGAATTCCCTGGAGTCAGAGTAGATTAAAAATTGCTAAATTCAAGTCTGAAGAATCCAAGCTAGAAGCTCCCTCTCCACAGTCATCATTCCCACAGCAATAATCTAAAATTGTGATTATGCAATTGAAACACCTTTATATTTGACATTCAGAAATTTATTTTTAAAAATACTAAAAATATAATATGAACTATGTAATAGAAAAATATAAAGAAATAATACTGATACACCCACTCTTCCCCAGGCAAGCAGAAGTCTTTTTTATCTTCTGAATTTCCAAGAACGTGGGTCTTTCTCTTTTGGTCCTTTTATTTTCACTTAACAATATGCCATAAATATGTCTCATATTTATAGAGACTTTATAATTGTATTTTGGATATGCATGTATTATTTAATTGTATTAAAATTACATAATGTACAGAAGTATTTCTATAATGTAGCACTAGATTTTATTACTGATGATCTCTGGCCATTTTGTGTAGTGCTACAGCAAACATTTTGTTTCTATAAAAAATATGCAATTTGCAAAGATCTTATTTGTTGAAAAAAATCAGAAAACAAAATAGAAAAAGAACATTATCCTTAAGGCCCAGAGGAGATTCACACACATAAACATGACTTGATAAATGAATCAACCTCTTTTGTGGAAGAGTGTGTTTGTGTTTGTCATTCTCGATGTGAAGCAAAAACAGAGCTTTTTGAAATTGAGAATCAAGCCTTAAGGAAAGAAAAGTCAATAGGGGCCAGGTGCAGTGGCTCATGCCTGTAGTCCCAGCACTTTGTGAGGCCGAGCTGGGCATATCACAAGGTCAGGAGTTCGAGACCAGGCTGACCAATGTGGTGAAATGACATCTCTACTAAAAATACAAAACTTAGCTGGGTGTGGTGGTGGGCGCCTGTAATCCCAGCTGCTCGAGAGGCTGAGGCAGGAGAATCGCTTGAGCCCAGGAGGCAAAGGCTGCAGTGAGCTGAGATAACCCCATTGCACTCCAGCCTGGGTGAAACAGCAAGACACCGTTTCAAAAATATATATATAGATGGGATGTAATGGGAAAAAAGTGTGATGTGTTATTAAGGAAAACATAAAAGAAAAATATGAGAATTTTAAATCTTCACTGGAGACTCTAAGAATAGAATTACAGAAAATTGAATTAGTGATGTAGAGGACAAACTTGGTACACTTTCTCAAATATGAAGCAAAAAAGATAAAATGAAAAGAAGACATATGATTGATACGGAAGATTGTAATTGGAGGTTTAATCTAAAAATTAAAGTTGTTGAAGTAAAAGCCAAAGCACTAAGAAATGAGATGAAAATCAAAGACATAATTAAATGCTTCCAAAAGAAATAAAAATAAGAACCCCCTTAAGCAGATACGAAGGAATCATTACATTTCAGAAAAATTAAGTGAAACTGAAGCACACCCCAATGTCTTGCATCGTATCCCTTTGGTTTCACTGACTTCAGATACAGGTAAACAGTTCTGTGTAAATTCAGCATCCCCGGATGTTAATGCCTCTACTCCAGGTGTTTTTCTTCTCTTCCCCTTCTCTGACTGCCTTTCCTGTACGCCTCCAGGCCAGCACAGCCTGAACATGTGGGGAAGCGACAGCCTCCTGGGGCGATTTCCACCAACTGGGACTGGAGTCAATGGTAACAATTACCATTCAGAATTCCTGTAGACACAGTATTGGAAATCTTTAGAATGACTCATTCTATAGAGAAAGCATCCTCTCAAGTGTATGTCCAATGTGAAATTTTATACTAATGGGACAACATTAGCCAACCCAAACTGCCCAGAGCCAGCAGCTAGTATTTGAGATGCAGGATTGACACGACACAACTACTCAGGACTGGCTGAAGTCATCTTTCCACGGGTAGGTTGAGGATTGAATGGCAGGCTGGGATTTGATGATTATCCGGGCTTCATTCTAGAATGCAGGTAAATGTATCCTGCTTATCCACAAGACTAAATTCGCTGAGCCATTATTTTTGTGCACTCTTATACATTAGAGGTAAGAAGACATTGAAATAGTAGAAAACAAAGAGGTGAGAGATAATGTAAGCAAAATATATATCGAGAAAATCAAGACGACTTTCTTTTCCTGTTAATGTTGGAATTGTCACATTAACATCCTCAAACGAAAGCAAGGTAAAACACAAGGCAATTTTCACAGAGCCACAAATGAGATCTGACCTCTTTGAGTTCTTTGAAAATATCGAAGAATAATTAGAATGTTTTGTGATACACTTTTAGATGGAGGTCAGGATTCATAACTGTTTGAAGAAAGAAAGTCATATGAATACTCATGATAAGAAGCAATATTTTCAAATATCAAAACAGCCTTCTCACAACTTGTTTCCCATTCCATTGTTTCTGATCTCCTTGACATTGTTGCATCTGGCATTATTTTGAAAGGGAAAAAGAATGCTGGATTTCGAAGTTAATTTGAGTTTAAACTCTTTCTTTCTAATTAATCAAGTTGTCTTCGGCATCAGATATAAAGGAGTAATCATTTGTTCCCCAGGTTTTAAAAATAACACAGAAGTCTGAGTTGTTTTGCTGAATGTTAAAGTGAATGACAGCTGGATGGCCAAACCTGACATCTCTCACCTGACTTTCCAGCCAAATCTGCTAAGGGGGTGAAAACCAGAAATAGCCTCAGTGACTTGCAGAGTCTCTGTTCCTGTCAACACTGGCCAACAGCTTTCCTCCATTGCAGTTGCTTCCCCCAGGGGTGCTGGAGCCATTGAATGTGCCATTGAATCTTTTATAATTTAGCTCAGCCCTTGTCCTTTGAACGGTCTCTCTCCTTAGATTTTACCTAATTTCCATATTTATTATTTTATTTTCTCTACAGCAGACACTGAAACTACCTAGACAAAGAGAAGCATTTTCACGCCTCACTTAAAGATGAGAAACATTCTGATAAATGTATTATTAAGTGACTACATTCTTGTGCAAACATCATAGAGTACTTCCTCACACCCAGGTGGCACACCCTACGGTGCACACGGCTATATGGATAGCCCATTTGCTCTGAGGCCACTCACCTGTACAGCAGGTTACTGAACTGCATACTGTAAGCAATTGTCACACGATGGTCAGTATTTGTGTATCTAAACATATCTAAACACACACAAGGTACAGTCAAAATATGGCATACAAGTTAAAAAATGGTACACCTGTATGCATTACTTAACATGAATGGAGCTTTCAGGGCTAGAAGTTATTCTTGATGAGTGAATCGTGCATGAATGTGAAGTCCTGGGCCATCACTGTACACTACTGTCGACTTTAGAAACACTTGTCACTTAGGCTGCATTAACTATGCAAATACATTTTCATTTCTGTAATAACAAATTAATCTTAGTTTACTGTAACTTTTTAAATTTATACACTTTTAAAAATAATCAGCTCACTGTAACTTCCTAAATTTACAAACTTTTACAATTATTTTAACTTTTTGACTTTTTTGTAGTAACATAACTGAAAACAAACACTCTGTACAGCTGTACAAAAATATTTTTCCTTTGTATCTTTAGCTATATGCTCTTTTATCTTTTTAAAATTATTATTTATTTATTTTTAAACTTTTGTTGTTAAAAGTGAAGACGCAAATACACATATTCCCCTAGACCTAACCAGGTTCAGGATCATCAGCATCACTGTCTTCCACCTCCACATCGTGTCCCACTGGAAGGTCTTCACCAGCAGTAAGACACATGGGCTGTCACCCCCCTGGTAATAATGCTTTCCTCTGGATATCTCCTGAAGGACCTGCCTGGGGCTCTTCTACAATTAACTATTTTTTTGTACAAGCAGAAGAAGTATAATCTAAAATAATAATTAAAAGTAGAGTACAGCAAATATAGAAACCAGTAACATAATCAATAATTTTATTATTAAGTATTATGTACTGTACATAATTGTATGGGCTAGACTTTTTACAGGACTGGCAGCACAGTAGATTTATTTTCACCAGCATCGCTATACACAGGCGAGTAAGGCATTGTGCTACAGTGTCAGGAGGGCTCCAACGTCACCAGGCAATAGGAAGACATTTTTCAGCTTCATTACAATGTCATGGGACCACTGACACATATATGGTCTGTCCTTAACTAAAATGCCCTTATGGGATGCAAGACTGTACTTCCCACCTCCACTCTTACCTCCCCATTGAGGAACTACTGTTAGCAAACCAACATCTACATGATAGGCTATTATTCTCATTTTGCCTGTGTGGTCTCTTAAACCCAGTCATCTACCAAGGTTTCCCACAAAATGCCCTCACCCTTCCTCTGCCCCTGTGAGGGCAGGCACAGCATCCTATACTAGCCTCTGGTTGTGCATTTTCCACAGTTAGAAGTCTGTATAGCAAGTACAAAGCCTAGAAAGTTCCTAGAAAACTTAAAGCTCCTTAGTATGTTATCGGACCTGCCCATTACAGAAGGTTGCAGTATACGCCCTCACATTTTCACATTGCATTCTTATGCTTCTACATCTTCTTTCACCATTTGCTCACATGTTCTAGTTTATCTTCCCATCTTCAGTGATTGCAGGTGGTTTCTGTCTAGGTAACAGATCCCTGGTGGACTTTTTTTTTTTTTTGTAGAGATAATTCAAATTAAAACCACAATACCAAAAAAAAAAATTAAAAAATCTTCCTTTTCACAACCAACTCTTATCAGCCTCCACTCCTCTTTTGCTTATATACTGAGAAGGTTTTCCTGCAGCTCAGCTATCATTTCCAGGCTGTATCTCCTTTCTTGCTTTAGATGGCTTGATCTTTTCTCTTTACAATGGAGCTGATTCTTAAGTCCACGGCCCAATTTCTGCACTTCTGATGTCACATGTCGGGACAACCTCAGGCCTCACCGGCCCGCATCCCATGACGCTTGCTGTCCCTCCTCCTGTGGAGGTGACTGTTATGGTGTCTGCAGACTTGTCTGATTGGGATGGCTTCAGCTCTCTGGGACTCTTCCTTCCTAGATATTCTTCACATTAGGGCCTCCTTACCAGCAGCCTCAATTCCCCAACTATGCTGCATTTCATTTCTTCATATTGTGTCCTTAGCCTGCAAAGTTCCCAAATCCTTCCACTGAGGTTTTTTTGCTGTGGTACGATCTTCAGCAAACCCATGCCCACCGTGAGGCCTCTTCATCCATCCTCCAGTGTCTTTTCTCTTTATCCAGAAACAGACAATAAGTCATTCCTTCTGAACTCCTTTTTCTCAAACATAAAAGTGAATTTTCAGTGTGCATTCTAGATGACTTGTGCAGTATTTGACACTGACCATCCGTACCTCTTGCTTGGAATTGTTTTCTCTCCCTTGATCTCCTTCAGAGGAATTCCTCCTGGGTCTTCTCGTACCTCATCACCCATATCATCTCATCTTTTCTCTCCTCCTCTTCCATTGCCAGTTTCTTCAGTGTGGGCAGTCTCAGAGGCTTCCAGCTTTGATCCTCTTCATAGGGTCCTATGACACACACTCCAACAATCTGCTCTTTACGTGGCTTCAAATTCCAATTATCTGCTGACTCCCAGATCCGTCTCCCAGTTGAGCTTGTGTCTCTGATTGTGAGCTGCATACACCTACTTGAGCATTTCACATCCCTCGCCCCCAACTCAACATCCAACCTCATCAGTTCATTTATTTTATTATGTAAGTCATGTCTTTTTTGAGATAAAACTCATATATTATTTATTTCCCAATTCTGGTCATAATTATCTTATAAGAAATTTGAAAATGTCATTGAAAAAATGGTATTTTACCTCTTACAACCTACCCAATAGCCAAACAAAAATAACAATAAGTCCAGAAAACATTTGAAGCCATAAATGAACCCACGATGTTCCTACATACACAGCAAGTTATCTTTCTGACATGGGAAAGTTCTGTTGACCAGGAACGATGTAGGCACTGTGGAGATAGAAAGTTGAATCTGACACCATCTTTCTTTTCTTAGTCAGTTCAGGCTGCTGTAACAAATTACCATAGGTTGTGTGGCTTAAGCAACAAACATTGATTTCTCCTGGTTCTGGAGGCTGGAAGTCTGAGATCAGGACTCCAGTTTGGTGGAGCGCTGGTGAGAGCCCTCTTCCTGGTTATGGCCTCAAATGGATTTTCTGTGGTACATGCATGCAAACAGAGAGATCGCCTGTCTCTTCTTTTTATAAAGGCATTTATCCCATCATGGAGACCCCAACCCCAACACCTCATCTAAACCTGAGTGCTCCACAAAGCGTCCACTTCCAAATACCACCACATTTCCACAGATGCATTTTTTGGGGTGGTACACAAAAGTTTACTCTCTAGCACTTCCATTCTGGAAGCTTGCAGTGTATCAGGCAAGACAGACCATTATATCAAACAGGTTGTGCTCAGAGCTAGAGCAGAGCTTTAAATAATGCCATAGGATTTCTACGAGAGGTGAAATATGAAAGTCAACTATACTTTGTGTCTGCCAGATTATCATTAGAAAATCCTATAGGTTCTGATAATTGTAATCAGATACAGTATAAAGTAATTGACTAATAGGAGCATGCATATATCAGGCATGGTTTGGAGGAAATAAATGAAAGAGATCCAGAAAGATGTTAGAAATTCAAGAACGGGTTCTCCAAGGAAACATCAAAGTCATTACTATGTCACGAACCTATCTGAAATTGGGACATTTAATCTTCTAACTTCTATGAGAATTATCTAGTCTACATCTTCAGGCTTCATTTCCAACTTATTATCTTATCTACTGCCTTATTCTTTCTTACTCTATGACTTAGAGCTTGGATTTCCTGAATTAAAATTAAAAGGTGGAACATTGTCTTTGAGGAGCTTTTTACTTTCCCTAACTCTCTGCTCCAGCAAATAACACTATCTCCAAGGTCCAGGTGTGGAACCCTGGAGTCATTCCCCTTTGGTCCACATCCAATTCCATGTCTTACTTCTCACATGTATGCCTTTCTGTCACATAAGAATCCTTGAGTTTGACGCCTAAACTTGAACTTTTCTCCTTGTTTTAGTTTTTTTCCTCACCTTGGCACTTCTGGAATTCCCTTTCCTTCTTCTGCTCATAGTCATGTCTTTTACTAAATATCCTGTAGAAGAAAAGCACCATGGAAGATTCAACCCGGAATGTGAGGTGGTCCTTGCCTGTGGGGTTGCAATCTATTAGGAAACATAGTTCTTCAAACGACCATAAGTTCTTACTCTTTCCTGATAGATTGCAACCCTGTAGGAAACGTTTGTGGTAGGTGGAGCAGGAGCAAGGTCAGGGTGGTCACCCATTAGTAATGGGACATGCTTGTTTCCAATCTCATGCTTTTTTCATTTTTTCTTTTCGCTGCCACCTTTTCATAAAGTTTGAGAATGAGCTTATTGGCTTATTTTGGGCACACAGGTAATGAGGGATACAGAATGTGGTGTTGTCATTTGTTTGATCATTACATGGGGGTACCTGGGAAGAAAGGACAAGATTTCCTCTGGTAGCAGTTAAAGACAACACAGGGTCCAATGTCTGAATGTGATGGGCAGTGCCTTTTCACTATTTTTATTTTTGTTTCTTTTGTATTTTTTAGAGATAGGGTCTTAGTCTGTCACCGAGGCTGGAGTGCAGTGGTAGAGCAGAGCTCACTACAGCTTCAACCTTCTAGAATCAAGCCATCCTCCTGCCTCAGCCTCCCAATTGTCACTTTTTTTTTAACACCTTTATTGAGGGACATATGGTATAAAAAGATACACCAATTTCAAGTGTATTTAAGTGATTACTTTTTACTTATTTTACTGAGTAAAATAAGCAAAATTCATGGAAAGCAACCCTCACCATATATTGCTTTTTTAACATTTTCATGCTTCCAAGGAGATCCCTCAAACCCATTTCGAGTTTACTTCTAATCCTACTTCAAGCATCAGCTAACCACTAATCTACTTTCTCTATACATTCGCTCTTTGTGAACATTTCATATAAATGGATTCATACGGTATGTATTTGTGTGTGTGTGGTTTCGCTTACTTAGCATTATGAGTTTGAGTTTCACACAGGATGTAGCATGTGTCAGTAGTTTGCTTTTTTATGGCTGAATAGTATTCCAGCATATGGCTATATCACATTTTCTCAATCCACTGTCCAGCTGATGCAAAGCTACGTTGTGTCCAGTCTCAGGCTCTTAGAAATGATGCCTCTAAGAACGTTCATGTGCGAGTCTCTGTGTAGACCTGTTTTTATTTCTCTTGGGCAGATTCCTAGGAGCAGAATAGCTGGGTCATATGGAAGTCCTATATTTAAGTTTTTGAGAAACCGCCAAACTATTTTCCAAAGTGTCTGCACCATCTATTTTATTATTATTATTTTTTTATTTTTGAGACAGAGTCTCGCTCTGTCGCCCAGGCTAGAGTGCAGTGGCAGGATCTCGGCTCACTGCAACCTCCACCTCCCAGGTTCACGCCATTCTTCTGCCTCAGCCTCATGAGTAGCTGGGACTACAGGCGCCCACCACAACGCCCGGCTAATTTTTTGTATTTTTTTAGTAGAGATGGGGTTTCACTGTGTTAGCCAGGATGGTCTTGATCTCCTGAACTCATGATCCGCCCCGCCTCGGCCTCCCAAAGTGCTGGGATTACAGGCGTGAGCCACCGCGCCCGGCCGTGTCTGCACCATCTTACACTCCTACCACCAATGTATGAGAGTTCCCATTTCTCCACATCCTTAGTAATGCTTGTTATTTTCTATCTTATTTTTTATTGCAGCAGATATAAAATAGTCCCTTATTGTCATTTTAGTTTACATTTTCCCAATGACTAATGATAGCCATTTTCATGTACTTATTCATATATACCTTGGGTGAAATGTTAGTTCATACATTTTGCCCACTTTCTTATTGGGGTATTTTTTATTGAGTTATACATTTCTTTTGAAAATTTGAATACAAGATCTTTATTAGATATGTGTTTTGCATATTTTCTCAGTCTGCTGTTTGTATTTTTATTTTAATATTATCTTTTGCAGTACAAAATTTTTGAACATTGAAAAAGTCTAATTTATCATTTTTTTCTTTTACAGACTATGATTTCAGTATAGAATCTAAGAGATTTTTCCTTAACCCAATGTCTTGAAGATTTTCTCCTATCTTTTCCCAAAAGTTCTATTGTTTTAGCTTTTAGAAGTAATCATATAATCAATTTTGAATTAATTTTTCTGACTTATGTGAAGGTCTAAGTTTATCTTTTTGGATTTTATATCCAGTTGTCCAGGCACCATTTGTTGAACACACTGTTCTTTCCCTAATGAATTGCCTTGGCATTTTTGTCAAAAATCAATATGTGGATTTATTTTTGGATTCTCAGTTCTGTCTTATAGAGGTAGATGTCTACCTGTCTTCGTCCATTCTGGCTGCTATGACAGAATACCGTAGACTTGGTGCTTTATAAACAACACAAATTTATTCCTCACAATTCTAGAGATGGTGGTGTCTGAGATCAAGGTGCTGGGAGATTCGGTGTCTGGTGGTCGCTCCCTGGTTCACACATACACATCCATCTATGTGCATGGGGGTTACCACCACCAGCAGATGCCCCTTCCTGCCTCCAAGGGATATTTCATCTCCTTTTCATGAGAAGCACGGTGACCGTGAAATAAGCTGATCTTTTTGCTTCCATCTCCCAAGGTACTTTTTACAGCACCTACCCAACATTCTGCTACTAGGGTTGTTAGGAACTCAATGTTTGTGTCCCCCAGCAAAATGTATATGTTGAAGCTCTAACACCCAGTGTGGCTGTGTTTGGAGACAAGGCCACTAAGGAAGTGATTAAGGTTAAATGAGGTTATATAAGTGTGGGGCCCTAAACCAATAGGATTGGTGTCCTTATAAGAAGAGACATCCAAGAACTTGTTCTTAGTGTCTCATGTTGCACACAAAGAAGAGGTCATGACTGCCAGGCGTGGTGGTCCACGCCAGTAATCCCAGCACTTTGGGAGGCTGAGGCAGGCAGATCACCAGGGGTCAGGAGTTCTAGACCAGCCTGGCCAACATGGTGAAAACCCATCTCTACTAAAAATTACAAAGATTAGCGAGGTGTGGTGGTGCACATCTGTAATCCCAGTTACTGGGGAGACTGAGGGAGGATAATTTCTTGAACCCGGCAGGTGGAGGTTGCAGTCAGCTGCAATCTCGCCACTGCACTCCAGCCTGGGTAATGGAGTGAGACTCCATCTCAAAAAAGAAAAAAAAAAAAAAGGAAGAGGTCATGTGAGCACAGAGAGGCATGGTGACTGTCCACAACCAAGAGAAGAAGCCCCAGAAGAAAACCTCTCCATCATCAGCACCTTGATCCTAGACCCCCAGCCTCCAGAACTGTGAGAAATAAGCTTCTTTTGTTGAAGCCACTTACTCTCTGGTATTTTGCTACCGCAGCTCTGGCAAACTGATACAAGTGTTGAGACAAAAAAATGGAATTGTCCTAATTGTAATCTTTGTCCTTTCTTCATAGCTAAGAATCACAGTCTACATCCAAATGCAAAAACATATCCACAACAGAACAAATAATTAATATGTAGTTTGTATACAATTTTAACTCTGTTTGTGGTACTTGGGCATTGTTATGAATTTGGCTTTCAGAGCTGGAATTTTTTTTTTTTTTTTGGTAAACCTTCTCACGAAGCAGTCTTAGTATTTGTTAAAAAAAATATGAGATTTATTTTTGGTTTGTAAAATAAAACATTTACAAAAAATGTATTGAAAGAATGAGAGATTAGAGATAGATAAATCAGACTGAAAACAAGGTCCTTTACTGGAAAAGGCTGGCATGTGTTACATTACAAAGACTTTAAGTGGCTATATATGTGGAAGACGTAAAGGGAGAAAGTTACTTCAAAAATTAAAGTTAGAGCTACTGAGAGGATGATGCCACCACTGTCTGGGAGCTGTGACTGAAGAGTGTGCATGCACGCATGTGTGTGCATGTGTGTCTGTGTGTGTGCACACGTGTGTGCACTGTGTGTGTGTGCATGCATGTGTGTGGTATGTGCGCACGTGTGTGGTGTGTGTGCATGTGTGTCTGTGTGTGGGCATGTATGTGTGCACGTGTGTGCATGTGTGTGTGCGTGTGTGTATGTGCCTTGTGTGCGTGTATGTGGTGTGTATGTGCGTGTGTGTCTGTGTGTGCACGCATGCATGTGTGTGTGGTGTGTGTGTGGGTGTGTCTGTGGAGGGGTTAGTTTGAGAGGAAAAATGTCACATTCAGCGAAAATTTTCAGAAATCAGAACGATGGTATTGACAGACATCCCAAATTACTGAGGATGGTGTTGGAGTTTGCCAATAGTAAATCTTATAGTTCCTGTAAAAGAAAAACAAACAAAAAGCTGAGTAAATAAAAGAAGAACCACTGGATGTGTTTGGAAAGACTTGATCCCTGGTGAGAATGGGGACATGATTGAAATGAGGTAATCATCTACCAAAACCAAGGAAAATTGCTTAAAGGAAGAAGGAGAGGAACATGACCCAGAGACAATGAGAACTATGAAAAGCTATTTGACAAGCCGATTCATCCCTCATCAGTGTCTAGGAGAAAGCAGACGCTACCCACATGCTGCCTATCTCCCAAAAAACTATGCAAAATGCAGTGCTGTCCCCAGAGTCATGCGAGGAGGTAACCCTGATGATGACGGGGGGAAGCGAGCTGCAAGGAATTCACCCTGCATTAGTGAGCAATCTATGTGTGGGCTGTGGTTTGGAGACATTTGGTGATTTTAAAAAGGAAGTGACAATGGGAGGCAAGAAGAAGGGAAAATGTCTCTCGGCATAGAGAATAAAAAATGTTTTTAAGCCATGTGGAACTAAGCAGTGGAGAGTCAGGCATCCAGTACTGAAGAAGAGCAAACAATCAAAAAAGAAAAAAGTATACCATTCTTAGCATAGTTTCTAATATAAGATAAATCTGTACAAATATTTATATCTAGAACCTATATTTATCAAAAATATTTCCTTAATGAAGCTTTTGTCTTTTAAAATTTAAAAATGTTAAATTTTCCTTCATGAAGCTTTTGTCTCTTTCAGAATTTCAAAGTTCTTTAATTTCAGTATTTTACATTGAAGTCCTTGCTGATATCATGGCATGAGGAATTTTCCAAATGTCTGCAAAACCATCATGGAGAAAAACTGTAATGAAAAGAAGTGTTCCTGAACTGAAATGTTATGGCTATTTTTGGATTTTTTTCTTTACTTAATAATTGGCACAAAAATCAAATCCCTTAATCCTAAAGCACAACTCACCTTTGTCCTAATAATCAGAGATTCTATAAAATATAAAAACATACGAGTGTTTGAAAGTCCAGTACATTTCTGATTTTCAAATAAACCTGTGTGAACACAATATGGAAGACACATATGTGCTTGAACAAGGGCTACTTTATTAGATTTTCTGAGTCTTCTCAATTTGGTCTTGCCTTGAAGTCAGTGACTAGTGTATTGTGTCTTTGATCATAGTGTCAGCGTCTAAAAGATCTATTTGGCCTTTACTTTCAGAAAAGGGTAAAAGCTCTTCCTGGGAAAATGTATCCCTGTAAGCCAGCTGCCTTTCAAGTCAAAACAGAAGGGATCGTTTTCAGGCTACCCAGATAACAAGCCTCCATTTTTCCCTTTCTTATGGTGGTACAGTCAGATAGCACTTAAGTGATAGAAAGAGTTTCTCCTAGGCTATATTACCTTGAAATGAATAAAACTCAATGCATTATTGTAAAGGCAGAGATGTTCTGATTTTGGAAGCAGGAGGGTTTCAAAGTGGGATAACAGGGACGTAATACTGGTAAAATGAGAGGGCTGTCCATAATAAATGAAGAGTCTACCTGGAGAAACCAGCAAATTATTGTGTGAGAGAGGGACACATTAGTGAGACAAAAGAATTGCATTGGCTGAGTCACCTCAGATCTCAAGAGTAAATCATTACCATCAGGCCTCTCTCAAGGTATAATGGACCTGGCCTGTTTCAAGTCCAGGCAAGCTAGGAAGGACAATGTCTCTGAAACCAATTTAGCGTGGATTAGTATATCTCCAAAGTTCATGGCTCCAAACTGCTTACCTGTTGGTGAACACAACAGATATTTGGCCACTTTTCCTCTCATTAACCTCAAACCACTATTTTCTGCTCTTTTCCACCTCTTGCCCTTACAGGGGCTGATACACCCACTCATCAATTATGTCCCAAGCTGATCCTGAAAAAGAAAGCTGTAAATGTTGTTCAAAGCCACCTTATTCTTGCTTTCATCCTGTTTAGGTCTAGTGTGCTTTTATGTCTTTCTGAGAATATTCTTAGCTCCCTCCCTGTCTTCCACGCTGAATTTGCCAGTCTTCTTAGATTGTGAAACTTAATGTGCCTTTATAATTTTCACCTTTTTCTCTCCCTGTTGCCCAATATCCTTTATTTTCCAAGACCCAATTTAAAGAACAAGACTACTAACATTATCTCTCCCTATAGGTGAGAGAACCAACAATATGATATTTTATGTTTACACCCAAATCTATGTTCTTTTCCAAATTCTTTCCCATAAATGTCAATAGGGAACTCTGATTTTGCAGATCACAGCAAAATATTATTGAGCCTAGTTCTTGGAACTTAGAGGCAATGAATGAAGATCATGTTAATGTAGTTTAGAGACAAACTAGGAAGGAGCTATGGTCAAAGAAAGTTTGGAAAGGCAGAAGACTCAAGCCCTGCAACAGAATTACCCAGGAATGATAACATTGTCACTCCCCCATCTTGCCACCTTCTTTGTGCTAAGGAAATGTGAAGGTGGAAAACTGGCTTTAATATCTGTTATGTTCAAGTATGGTATCCTTCCCAGTGCGGTGTGTTGACTCACTTGACACAGTTACAGAGGATGTGAATGGGAGGACAGAGAGGGCCCTAGCTGTGGGCTGGCCATACAATTTATCATCCAAAACGGAACAACTTTGACAGTGAAATGGAGTGTGCTTTTAATAATTATGCCTAAACAACGTGTTAACTGAAATGGCCCAGAAACAATGGTGTGTATTAAATACTTCCTATTTAAGAGGTTTGTGGAAAAAAAGAAAACGGTGAAAGAAACTACCCCTTGTCCAGTTTTTACTCAAGTAGCAAAATACCTTGGATTTCATAGCAGGAACAGAAAACACACTCCAAAATAGGAATTACAACCATTTTTGAGGCACCAAATAATACCAGTTTAAAGATGTGGCAAACAAACTGGTGGTCAATTGAAATTGAAGAACGAGTTCTCAAAAGGCCAACATAAAGGTGAAAAATACGCTCTATCTCCAGTTCAGGAATAGCTGTTCTTCCACCTGTCACATGGTTGTAGTTTTGTTATTTTGTCAGGTGAGCTGGTTGCAGAAACTCATCCTGGAGATGACCCTAATTGCCATGTCTTCCTAGAAAGTGCAAATACGGTAAAGCCACAGCTATAATACTGAGAAGCCATTGGTCCTACCCACAAGTGAAAGTGTGCAGTGTGTCCTTCACCTCAACATATAGAAGGGTGATTTGCATACTTGTGATACTGTGTTAGTCTGTTCTCACACTGCTAATAAAGACATACTCAAGACTGGGTAGTTTTTTTCAAATTTTATTTATTAATTTTTTTTCTTTTGAGATGGAGTCTCACTCTGTCACCCAGGCTGGAGTGCAATAGTGCGATCTTGGCTCACTGCAACCTCTGCCTCCCAGGTTCAAGTGGTTCTCCTGCTTCAACCTCACGAGTACCTGGGATTACAGGTGTCCATTATCATGCCTGGCTAATTTTTGTATTTTTAGTAGAGACGGGGTTTCTCCATGTTGTCCAGGCTGGTCTGGAACTCCTGACCTCAGGTGATCCACCCACCCCTCGTAAAGTTCTGGGATTACAGGCGCGAGCCACCGCACTAGGCCAAGACTGGGTAATTTATAAAGGAGAGAGGTTTAATTACTCACAGTTACACATGGCTGGAGAGGCCTCACAATCATGATGGAAGGCAAATGAGGAGCAAAGTCACGTCTTACATGGAGGCAGGCAAGAGAGTGTGTGCAGGGGAACTCCCATTTATAAAACCATCAGATCTTGTGAGACGTATTCACTACCATGAGAACAGTATGAGGGAACCACCCCCATGATTCCATTATCTCCACCTGCCCTGCCCCTGACATGGGAGATTATTACAATTCAAGGTGAGATCTGGGTGAGGCCACAGTCAAACCATATCAGATACCATGAACTGTTTTATCTAGTGGAATCCAACACTATTCATGATAACAGTAATATAATAACTATAACAGAAGGTGCCATCCTGGAACAGATACTCTGTGTCAGGCACCGTGCCCCCTGCTTCTTACATGGCAGCTCTAAAAATCCTGACCTCCCTCACAACTAGTTCTATGGTGTACTGTCATCTCTAATTCTGCAGATGTGAAAACTGGCACAGAAGAGTTTCATAAGATTTGTGTATGAGCACAACGTAAGAGATTGTATTTGTTTGCTAGGGCTGCAAAAACAAAATACCTGAGACTGGGCAGCTTAAACCACAGACATTTGTTTTCTCACAGTTCTGGAGGCTGCAAGTCCAAGATTGAGATGTCAGCAGGTGTTGCTCACCGTCTTGCTACATCTACACATGGTGTCTTCTCTGTTTGTGAACAACCCTGGTATCTCTGTGTATCCAAATTTCTCTTTTTATAATGACTTGGTCAGATTGAATTAGGACCCACCCTAACAGACTCATTTTCACTTTATCAGCTCCTTAGAAGTTCTATGTCCAAATACAGCCACATTCTGAGGTACAAGGCATTAAGGCTTCAACACACAAATTCAAGGGGGACACAGTTCAAGCCATGACAGTGACCTAGCTGAAATTCAAAATTGGTCTAAGTTTAAAACCATGTTTTCCCTGTCATACCTGGCTCCAACCACTGAAGGCAGGTACTTTATTCTATGCTTTAAGAGAAGCATATTTTCAGGTTACTGCCTCTATCCCCTAAGAGTTTTCAGCATAGGAGAACAGAGAAATAAGTTGACAACTTACTCTACTGCAAAACAAAATGCAATCATAATTAAATAAGAGCCCTCAGAAGACCATATAGCAAAATGGATCAAAGTACTTCTGAAATTAGAGTACCTGAGTTCAAATCTACAATTCAGTCGCAGATAGCAGAAGCAATTAAAGTAAGAATCCTACCCATTCATTAAAAAACTATGTATTGAGAGTCTACCAGGTGCCATGCATTGTTCTAGCCTCTTGAGATACATTATACAGCTCTACATGATTATTCAAAAAAGTGTTTGCAAAATAAATGAGACAGTTTATACCAACTGCCTGATGCTGCCTATTATCTTTAAACGAGGTCTTTGTGGATAATCCAAATTTGCTGATTTAAAGGATTTTTTAAGTTAATTAAGTATAGGAAAGAATTAAATAGGAAGATGTAAGGTATTTTTAAATTTAATATTCTTTCAAAGCAATAATAAAATATTCAAGAGGGACAATATTCAAATAGGAAGCGGAACTGACCAAACCATTGGAAAAAAGCTTTCTGACCAAGTGGTTCTGAGACATCTTAAAAAACCAACTTAATGCCGGGCTCTGACTATATGAGAGAAGAATTTGGACAAAAGATAATAAAGAAATCTTTGAGATAAGTTACCTGAAACTGCCAAGAAAATTCTGATCTGATTCTATATCCACATCTGTACCTCGCCCCTTCTCCTTGTGGAAATGCAGAGTCCTGGGCCAGTCTGCTCAGGCCTTCCAGCACTAAACATACTCTGTTGAGACATAACATAGGATCAGAGATTTACAAAGACCAGAATCATCTAGCACAGTGATACAAGTATGTGTCATTCTAGAGAGACCTCTCTGTATACTGATGTTTATCTGTTTAAAAACACACATCAGGATTAAGGTAAAAGGGTATATGTTTCACTAGGTCACACTTTGCATATGTAGTGGCCACATTTTTTATGATTTTAAAGATATGAGACATCATACAAGTTTGCAGAATTTCAAATAAGACCGCAGAGCCCAGGAGCTCTGGACAACATTAAATTCAGCCATCTAATAAAACACTCTCCATAGTTGTCATGACAACATCCTCCTTCTTCCCATTTGAAGTATGCCTCCTTCTTCTAGATGGAAGTGTTTATTTGGTGTCTGTTGGGAGGCTATAATTTTTTATTGAAATACACAGTTGAAAGGGCATTGAATTGGAATTCACTGAGCCTTGTTTAAGATTACTGTATATGAATCTGTGTTAAGATAACATACAACGCCTTCTTAAAGTCCTCCTCTAATGGAAGCCAGATTTGTCTTATCTCTTATGAAGCTTTTATTTCTTTTTTAACAGTATTTTATTTATTTATTTATTTATTTATTTATTTATCTAATATTTTTATTTTTATTTTTTTTAAGATGGAGTCTCGCTCTGTCCCCCAGGCTGGAGTGCAGTGGCGCGATCTCGGCTCACTGCAGGCTCCGCCTCCCGGGTTCACGCCATTCTCCTGCCTCAGCCTCCCGAGTAGCTGGGACTACAGGCGCCCGCCACTACGCCCAGCTAATTTTTTGTATTTTTAGTAGAGACAGGGTTTCACGGTGTTAGCCAGGATGGTCTCGATCTCCTGACTTCATGATCCACCCGCCTCGGCCTCCCAAAGTGCTGGGATTACAGGCGTGAGCCACCGCGTCTGGCCTTTTAACAATATTTTTAAAAGACCTAACTTAAAGCCCAAAAGATTTAAAATTGTCAGCCTAGATTTTAGTCCTTCCAGAACCAGGTATTCCAATTGTGGGTAAGTGGGCTTCTACAAATTTATAAAAAATGAGTTTTTATGGTGCTGGCAATGGGGTTCCTAATGAATTTGTCTGGGAAAGTCATTTGTCGTTACTTTTTAAATGGGTTTCTGTTCCTGAGAGAAAGGTACTTGTTGCTGATAAACCTAGTTCGTGCTGAAATACTGCACATGCACTCCACGGATCTCTCCGTGGACCCTGTTCCATCTCCACGTCACAGTTTTTCCTCACCTGCCCACCTTCCTCCAACATTTCACTCTTGCAATTTGCTCATCCAGGAAAAACTCACTTTATGCAAAAGCAAACAATAATCGAAGAGAATTTTGCCCTGATTCCTTTGAAATTGTTGTATGTATACTGAAAGAACAATAGCAAAATGATAGAGCAATGAACGCCACTAAAACAAAACAAAACAAAAAATTTTTTTGGAGCAAATAAAGATCGTGTAGCCTTTTACTCAAATGTTTACCTCCATAAAATAGGATCTGAAAATCAAAGAGAAAAGAACTCAAAATTTTTTACAGGAGGTGGAAAAATGTGCTTGTAAAAGTCAGAAAAAAAGTGAGACAGAAAAATAAAACTGTCTCTGTGAAGGCCAGATTGGAAGCAGCAAGAAAAGAAATTCTACATGGCTGAAAATGTGAAAAGGAACATGTTAGGAGGTCTTGAGAAAAATGAGCAATGTATTGCTTAAAAATTATTTTAAAAGAGTTAAAATGATGATTATAGGAGATAAAAATTCCATATGTAAATAAGTATTGTCTCTGAATAAGAAATAAATGAATTGAACCCAACAACAACAAAATAACTTTAAAAACTTTCAAAAAAACAACTATCGAGTACTATGCTTAGTAAGTCGCTGACGAGTTTGCACATCAAACCCCCATGACAGGAGTTCACCTGTATTAACAAACCTGCACATGTACTCCTGAACCTGAAATAAAAGTTAAAAAAAAAAAACAACTTTATTTTGAAATACGTAGAGGCTCGCACCTAGATACTAAAAGGTTACACTGTATCCCAGGGAAAACTGATTCAAAATATTCTATAGCAATGCATCATAAAAATTTTGGAATTTAGAATTAGAAACTGTTTTAGACATGAAAGCAAAATATTAAGTTATCTACAAAGAGAAAATTAGACTGACTTCAAAGTTATCCAAAACAACATTAAGTGCCAGAAGAAATATACAAAATGCTCAGAAAAAGAATATGTGTGTGAGAGAGAGACACAAAAATGTAGTATTCAACCATGTGCATGCTTAAACCAATCTTTTTTAAAAAATTATCTTCATTTTTAAAAATATCTAGGCCCTACAATGCTATGCTGAGCAGTAAATATTTTAAGAGAAATGGATCTAAACTGTCACCGTTGTATATAACATTTATCGTAAGATTTATATTCTATATTTGTATATGTACGCTTATTTTTATGTATTTTTATATATTTAAAATTCTATATTTATTTTATATACACATTTGTATAAATACATTCCTCTCTAGTCTTCTAAGTTTTTAAAAATGACACAAAGGTTTAAGTTTTTGTTTGTTTGTTTGCTTGTTTGTTTGTTTTGTTGAGAGGGAGTTTCACTCTTGCCCAGGCTGAAGTGCAAAGGCAAAATCTCAGCTCACTGCAACCTCCGCCTCCTGGGTTCAAGTGATTCTCTTGCCTCAGCCTCCTGAGTAGCTGGGATTACAGGCACCTGCCACCACACCCGGCTAATTTTTGTGTTTCTAGTAGAGACAGGGTTTCACCATGTTGGCCAGGCTGGTCTCAAACTCCTGACCTTAGGTGATCCACCAAACTCGGCCTCCCAAAGTGCTGGGATTATAGGCATGAGCCACCGTGCCCGCCTATAAAGGTTTAAGTTTAATCATTTTTATTTAGTTTTTAATATTTTGTTTGTTTTTATAGATTTAGGGATAAAAGCACAGCTGTGTTACATGAATGCATTACGCATTGGTGAACCCTGGGCTGTTGGTGTACCCATCACTCAAATAACGTACAGTATACCCAACAGGTAATTTTTCAGCTTTCACCACCCCCTAACCCTTTGGAGTCTTCAATGTCTATATCCCACTGTGTATGTCCATGTGTTCCCATTATTAGTTCCCAGTTATAAGTAAGAACATGTGTTTATTTTCACTTTTTGTTTCTGAGTCATTTCGCTTTTGGCCTCCAATTCCATCCATGTTGCTACAGAGGAAGTGATTTCATTCTTTTCTATGGCCAAGTTAGTATTCCGTGGTGTGTGTTTGTGTGTATGTGTGTGTGTGTGTATACACATTATATATACATCTTATTTTAAAACCTAATCATGAATTGATGGACAATTAGTTTGGGTCCATAACTTTGCTATTGTGAACAGTGCTATGATAAACATTTAAGTGCAGGTGTATTTTTGGTATAATGATTTATTTAAGGTACATTTAATCCATTTAAAATCACATGTGTATTTCTTTATGTATATATTTTATGTATTTTTTATTCTGTATTTATTACATATATTCATATATATTCTCATTCTAGTTTACTGAGGTTTTAAAAAATCACGTATAAAGATTTTAATATTTCTAAAGAATTTTATTGAATGTTTTCTTCTACCTCTCAAAATCTTTTTAGAATTTTCGTCATTTATTCTATTAATCTATTAATCTATTGATAGAATTTTCTGATGGTAAAATGTCTTCTTTTAGAGATAAACTGTATTGGATCATTTCTATTTTTATACACAGTTCTATTTGCGTAGCTTTGCATTAAAATCTACTTAGACTATTTTAAATGTTCACACTTTTTTTTTCTAAATTAAAGTTTGTTGTATATTTTTTTCATTGACTTAACATTCAACCTTCCTGTGTCTCTGGGGAGTTTTGATAGAAAATCCAGGCAAACCTCAGAGCTACTGCAGGTTTGGGTCTAGACCACTTCAATAAAGCAGATTTTGCAACAAAACAAGTCACACAAAATTGTTTGGTTTCCCTGTGCATATGAAAACTACACCATATTTTAATCTATTAAGTGTACAATAGCATTATGTCTAAGACGTATGTATACGTGTATTTAATTAAAAATACTTTATTGATCTAAAATGCCGGCAGTCATCAGAGCACCTGAGCCGTGAGTGAGTTGTAATCATTTTGCTGGTAGAGGATTTGGCTTCAGGTTGAAGGCTGTTGACTGATCAACATGGTGAGTGACGAAGGTTGAGGTGACTACATCTATTGAGTCTTTCTTTCACAGAAGATTTCTCTGTAGCATGTAATGTTGTTTGATAGCATTTTACTCACAGTAGAAGTTCTCTCAAAATTGGAGTCAATCTTTTCAAACCTTGCTGCTGCTTTATCAACTAAGTTGATGTAATATCTTTGTTGTCATTTCAAGAACGTTCACAACATCTTCGGGAGGAGTAAATTTTATCTCCATAAACCTCTTCCTTTGCTCACCTACAAAAACTAACTCCTTATCGGTTAAAGTTTCATCATGAGATTGAAGCAATTCAGTCACATCTTCAGGCTCCACTTCTAATTCTAGTTCTGTTGCTATTTCATCCACATCTTCAGCTACTTCCTCCAAGGAAGTCTTGAACCTCTCAAAGTAATTCATGAAGGTGGAAATCAACTTCCTCCAAACTCCCGTTATTGTTGATATTTTCATGTCTTTCTATGAGTCATGAATATTCTTAGCAATATATAGTATGGTGAATGCTTTCCAGGGGTTTTCAAATTTACTTTGCTTAGATCCATAGAGGAATCACTATTATGGCAGCTATAGCTGTGGTATTTCTTAAATAATAAGAAGATTTGAAAGTCAAAATTACTATTTGATCTTAGCAGCATAATGCATGCTGTGTTAGCAGGCATGAAAACAACATTTATCTCCTTTCACATCTCCATCAGAGCTCTTGGGTCACTAGGTCAATGAACATAATATTTTAAACAACTTTTTTTTCTGAGCAGTAGGCCTCAACTAAGGCTTAAAAATATTTAGTGAATCATGCTGTAAATAGGTGCTGTTTCCATTTATAGAGCACAAGCGGAGTAGATTCAGCATAATTCTTAAGGGCCCTAGGATTTTTGGAGTGATAAATGTGCATTGGCTTCAACCTAATGCCACCAGATGCACTGGTCCCCTAGCAAGAGAGTCAGCCAGTCCTCTGAAACTTTAAAGCCAGGCATTAACTTCTCTTCTGTAGCTATGAAAGTTATAGATAGCATTGTTTTCCAGTAAAAGGCTGTTTCACCTATACAGAAAATTTGTTGTTGAATGTAGCCACCTTCATCAGCCATCTTACTGAGATCTTCTAGATAACTTGCTGCAGCTTCTCCATCAGCTCTTGCTGCCGCACCTGCGTTTTATGTTCTGGAGATGGCTTCTCTCCTTAAACCTCATGAACCAACATCTGCTAGCTTCAAGCTTTTCTTCTGTAGCTTTCCTGTCTCTTGAAGCCTTCATGGTATTGAAGAATTAGGGCCTTGCTGTGGATGAGGTTTGGCTTAGGAGAATGTTGTGTATGGTTGGATCGTCTATGTAGGCTACTAAAATGTTCTCCCTGTCAGCAATAAGGCTCTTTTGCTTTGTTATCATTTGTGTATTCACTGAAGTGGCAATTTTAATTTCTATCAGGAGCTTTTTCGTGCGTTCCTAACTTGGCTAACTGTTTAGCACAAGAGGACTAGATTTCGGCCTGTCTCAGCTTTTGAAATGCCTTCCTCGCGCACTGCGCTTAATCATTTCTAGTTTTGGAAAATGATACACATTTGACTCTTTCTTTAACTTGAACCCTTAGAGGCCATTGTAGGGTTACTAATTGGCTTAATTTCAATATTGTTGTTTCTCAAAAAATAGGAAGAGAGATAAGAAACAGCCATTTGGTGGAGCAATCAGAACACACTTAACATTTATCGACTAAATTTGTCATCTTACATGAGCATGGTTTATTATAGCCCAAAACAATTATAATAGTAATATCGAAGATTACTGATAACATAACAGATATAATGATAATGAAAAAGGTTAAAAAGTTGCGAAGATTACCCGAATGTGGTACAGAGATGCAAAGTGAGCACATTCTGGTGGAAAAAAATGATGCCAATAGACTTGTTCCACGCAGTGTTACCAAAATCTTTCAATTTATAAAAAACCCAATATCTGGGAAGCACAGTAAAGCCAAGTGAAATGAAATGAAGTATGTCAGTACATTACTGATATGAATGTATTTATCTGACCCCTTTTAGATATATGAATTTTATTGACATGTAACTATGTGTCATAAATTGAATCATTTTTAAGTAACTAATTCAGTGATTATTGAAAAATTTACACATCTTGTTACCACAGCAACAATCAAGCTACATTCTGGTCCTTCCAGAAGTTTCCTTCATACACTTTTTCCAGGCAAATCCTCTCCCCTTCAATTTCAGGTATCCAGTAATCTACTGTCATTATGAATTGGCTTAATCTTTTGTAGAATTTCATATAAATGGAATCACATAGTACGCACTCTTCATGCCTGTCCTCATTTTGTTGAGTGTAATAATTTTGAGATGAATTCATGTTTTATGTGTATTATCCCTTTGTTCCTTTTTATTGATGAGTAGTATTCCATTATATATGTCATGGAATCTATACATGTATATACCACATTTGTTTATCAGATTACCCATTGATGGACATTAAGATTGTTTCCGTTTTTGGTTAAATCTGCTATAAACATTCCAATACAGATATTTGTGAGGACATAATTTTTTCTTTCTTGTAGATAATGACTTCGGAGAGCTCATATGGTAAGTATTTATAGGAAACTGAAAGACTTTTTAAAATGGTTATATGATTTTTTTTTTTTTTTTTTTGAGAGGGAGTCTTCCTCTGATGCCTAGGCTGGAGTGCAGTGGTGCAATCTGGGCTCACTGCAACCTCCGCCTCCTGGGTTCAAGCAATTCTCCTGCTTCAGCCTCCTGAGTAGCTGGGATTAGGTGCATGCACCATGCTCAGCTAATTTTTGAATTTAATTTTTTTTTTTTAGTAGAGACGGGGTTTCACCATGTTGGCCAGGCTGGTCTCAAACTCCTAAACTTGTGATCCGCCTGCCTCAGCCTCCCAAAGTTCTGGGATTTCAGACGTGAGCCACTGCGCCCGGCAAAAATTGATTATATGATTTTTTTGATTCACATTGTTCATGAGAATTTAATTTGCTTCACATTTTCTTCTACCCTTTGTATTTTCAGTCATTTTAACTTTTGCCATTCTATTAGGTATGCAATGGTATACTGTTGTAATTTTAATTTGCGTTTTTATAATTACCAATGATACTGAACATTTTTTCATGTGTTTTTCTCATCCATATATCTCCTTTAATGAAGGGTCTATTCAAATATTTTTGCTGTTTTAGCCCTTCTTGTTTCACTGTAAGAGTTTCTTATATATTCTAAATATGATCCCCTTGTCAGGTAAATGTATTGTGAAGATTTTCTCTTAATGTTTGGCTGTACTTTTAATCTTGTAACAGGGCCTTTCAAAAGTAATTTTTTAAAATTTGTCAACTTTATTTATTTCTTCCCATGGTTCATGCTTCTTGTATCCTAAGAAATGTGTGTTTACTTTAAATTCACAATGATCTTGTCTGTATGCTTGCAGAAGTTTTTTTATCATTTTGCTCTTTAATTTTGTTACGTATTTCAAGTTAATTTTTGAATTACTGAGGAAATGAATTATATGAGGAAATGGTGCTGGATAAATACATCCAATTCGTCCATCATCATTTGTTGAAAAGCACTCATTTTTTCCCACTTCAATGTTTGTTGAAAATGTCTTACTTATGTATGTGTGTATCTATTTCTGAATTCTTAATTCTGCTTAATCTATCTATGTTAATGACCCTAAGCTTCTGTCATGGTGTCCTGATTACAGTATTTTTCAGATCAGGCAATAAGTCCTCCAGATTTGTTTTACTATTTCAAAACTCTTTTGGTGAGTCTAGATGATTAGCATTATAATATATATTTTAGAATCTGTCAATTGCTTCAAAAAAGACTGCTGAGATTTTGATTGAGTGTATTAAATCTCTATATCAATTTTATGATAATTCATATCCTAACAATATTAAATTTTCCAAAACAGGACCTTAGTATATCTAATTATTTAGTCCTCATTTGATTTTTCTTGTTTCCGTTTTTTTTTTTTTTTTTGGTTTATTTGTTTTTGTTCTTAATTTTCACTTTATAGTTTTTATACACATTTTGTTAAATTATTTCTGAACATTTCATATACTTTTACTATTACAAATTATATTTTCTATTTATTTTGCCACTGTTTATTGCAAACAGGTAGAAAAGTGATGGGTTAGTTTGCTATTGGTTGGTATCCTGCATACCGGTAAAACTGAATTTTGGTTCTATATATTATCATTTGTAGGCTCTTAAAATATCAGCAAACATGATGATGGCATCATCAAATAAGAATAGCTGTTTCTTCTCATATCCAATTTTTCTGTTTTTTTTTTCTTCCTTATTGCATTGACTGGGGCATCCATTTAGTTATAGGGCATCCATAAATAAATAAATTTTTAATTTTTTTTAACTTTTTTCAAATGCTTCTGCATCCATTGAGATGATCATATATATTTTTTCTTTTTTAGTGTGATAAAGTACATTGATGCTGGAACTTTGAATCAATGTCGTACATCTGAGTTAAGCCCCAACTGGTTCTATATAATATATGTCATACACTTTTATATTTATTGAAATATTCATTATATATACATTTTTAAATCTTTCATTAGAGAGGTCCAATTGTCTACTTTTTTATAAAAGCCCACATGAACTGTTTTTATTTTTCAAAGGTTATTTCTGACTTACTAAAGCCACAATAAATTTCCCCTGTGAGTTCCTTAAGTACCTGTCATCTATCTGTGCAAATTTTAAAAAATATCAAATATCTTAGTATGTTCCGCCTCTCCTTCTCCGCATCATGTTGATACTATCTGAAATTTTTTCCTTATTTATTCTATTTGCTATTCTATGAATTTTCTCAACATAAGTTCTTACAGTTTTCTCTAATTTTTGGACTATATTGATCATTACTTTTAATTTTATTTTCTCCTCTCCATTAATGTTTTTGCTATCATTCTAGAGCATCCCCAAATAGATTTCTTTTTGCATCTCTGTTCTCTCCTGCATATATATTAACAATTTTTCTTATATTTTAATTTATTTTTGTTATTTTAACTCTTTTCTTTATGGTCTTAGGAAACATTTTATAACTTATTGATTTGCTCTTTGCTGTAACACTTGTTAATAAACTCTTCCATTAATATATTAATGTATTTTCAATACATACTGCCTTCATTTCCTTACTTTATAACTATGTATTCCTGCTTGAAATATAAAATATTCTCTCTTACAAATGCATCCTATATATTCCCAATCTCTCTACTTTCATAGGTATGCTACATCTGGAATAAAGGGTTCCATTAGTTGTCTATTTTTCAGTAATACTTACTTATTTAACTTTCTCATTATTTATCCCTGGGAGTTTATATTCACCTGAGAGTTTTAGATCCCCTGGCCGAGATGTAGGACCAGAGGGAGGGACGTGCCAGGTCCGAGCATGATTCCTTTCTGTCCCACGCCATGAGAAGTGCAGGTGACTGCCCAATGCAGGGGCCTTTAGAACTGAAACTTGCTCCAGGGTTCTGGAGCTGCTCTTTAGAGATGATTTTGTTATTTGCAATCAGGAGTCACTTGAGGGCTGGAAGCTACTGGAGATGAGGAGCGTATGCTCAGAGGATACCAGATGTTCCCACACTTGCTGTCAAAAAAGCTTTTCTTTCTCTTTTTCTTTCTTTTTCTCTCTTTCTTTCTTTCGTCTCTTTCTTTCTTCTCTTGTTCTTTCTCTTTCTTCCTCTCTATTTCTCTCTTCCTTCTTTAGTTTTCTCTTCTTCTCTATTTTTTTCTCTCACTCATTCTTTCTTCTTTCATTCTTTATCTTCCTCTTTCTTTCTCTCTCTTATTTTCTTCTGTTGTTCTTTCTTTCTTTCTTTCTTTCCTTCCTTCCTTTCTTCCTTTCTTTCCTTCTTTCTTTTTTCTCTTTCTTGCTTTCTTTCTTACTCTTTCTTTCTTTCTTTCTCTCTTGCTTCTTTCTTTTCTTCTTTCTTCTCTAGCTTAAACATACTGATTGGGCAGAGTTGTTCTCTGGTTTTTACAGGTAAAATAGGAGAAGAAAGGGATCTAGTTAAATTTGTTCTTTCATCTACTGTGGCACCCAGGATGATTATTCTTTCTCTTGTGCACACATGAAGTCACAGCATGTATACCGTCTTTATACAGTTTTTTTATGGTTTTTATTCAATTGGTTGGACTTTAATTGACTAATGCCCTCCCTTCTGTGGAATCTCCAGGACTGGATTAAGGAGATGAAGGGGTGGCTCTTCCTACTTGACTTACTGGAAATGCACAAGGAAATTGCTTTCCCATACTTTCTGCATTGTCAGACTGATATTCATTTTAGATGTGACAGTATGGTATTATTGTAACGTGTCTTAACAAGTTCCAATCTATTTAGCTTTCCTGAGCTCTTTGTGGTCTTCCTGTCCTTTTTCTTCCTAAGTTGTATGTGAAACTACCTATATTCCACTTAAAAAAAATTAGAACCTGGATTCAAGACCTGCCTCTGTCACTGCACAGCTGTGTGATCCAAGTGTGGAATGACGACCACATGTGAGCTTCTGTAGGTCTTAGGTCCCCCCTTTATGAAATTGCAATAATAATAATATCTACCACCTTTAATTGCTTTGATAAAATGCTACAATATGTGGGATGTTATGGTATGCCATGCAGGTCTCCCTTCTGCATGGGAGAAGACACTCATTTTCCCTGACTACTGGAAGGACTGGGGACTCACCACTAATGGGTACCTGTTCACCAAGTGCCTTCTTCTGGAAGGAGTTGCCTCCCCCGAGTTTATCACTCCTCCTCAGGATCAAGCTATGTCCAATAGATCCCGTGGGGGTACAAATGCCCAGTCCTTTGCCTTGATTCAGGACAAATCACAGGACCATACTTGTTCCAGAGCTGCCTATACGGTTAATTGAGGTCTCGGCTATAGCTGCATTACAGGGTTTCTTGCTTGCTTGCTTGCTTGCTTGTTTGTTTTCCTTCTTTCTTCTTTCTTTCACAGTCTTGTTCTGTTGCCCAGGCTGGAGTGCAGTGGCGGGACCCTTGGCTCACTTCAACCTCTGCCTCCCGGGTTCAAGTGATTCTTGTGCCTCAGCCTCCCAAGTGGCTGGCACTACAGGCATGCACCAACATGCCTGGCTAATTTTTGTATTTTTAGTATAGACAGGATTTCACCATGTTGGCTAGGCTGGTCTCAAACTCCTGACCTTAAGTGATTCTCCCACCTTGGCCTCCCATTACAGGTGTGAGCCACCACTCCCAGCCTGCATTGCAGTTTAATGACTCCTTCTCTCACACCTGCTTCCCTAACTCCCCTTATGATGATTTTTCTGAGTGCATCCTTAAAAATATTCTGCCCAGAAATATCTCCATTTCAATAAGTTTTCTGTAGAAATATAAGTCAGATATATCAAAATATAAGTCAGAATTTTACAAATATTGAAGTGTCATATCACATCAGAGTAACAACACCACCTAAGTACCAAATGATGATAATGAAACTTAGACCTACTGGAATTGAGTAGAGGTGAACATCATGTGAGAGAAAGATCACTGTGCGCTCGTGAATCAGGGTAGGGTCCACCGGGATGTGAAACATGAATTTGAACTTGAACGAAGAGGGGCTAAATCTGATGCACACAAAACAAACTCGTGCTACATCTTCCTCTGAAATTGCGATTCTAGCTTCTTATGTCAGGTACTTTTAGTATCTGACTCTTTTAAGCAAGACTGGGATAATTAAATTCATGGCTTCCAGTTGGAACACCTCCTTCAGTATGGAGCTGGCAAAACCTAGCCAGTAGCCTATGAATGTTACCGTTTGGCAAAGCCTCAGAACTAGGCAGAACCATGGATGCTGTCATTTGTATTGTCAGCTTCCAACATACCAAATAACCTTGGTAATGACTTCACCATAGCTCCTCTGAACTGCTTGGTGTTTACCCAAAATGTGCCTTGGTACAAAGTCTGTGGGAGGCAGTGTCAAGTCGAATGCCTAACAGTTTGAGCATCTGGGATTAATGAGCTATCAGCAAACACTTGGCTTATGCATGACCAATCTGTTTTTGAATACTGTGAGTGCTGACTGTATCAATAAAGATAGGCTGTGATGGGAAACATTTGCTGTTATGTAACAACATGCTTGAATGCTTAGGTCGGAAGGGAGATATCACACAAGTAAGAATGGCCATAATATGAAGAGAAGCAAAACAGTGGCAGAGTTCGTAGAGGGCAGTGATTCAAGAGGTCAGGTACGCAGGAGCTCAGGGATTTTCTTTCTTTTCTCCTTCCCTCCTTCCTTTAGTTTATCTTTCATTCTTTCTTTCTTTCAACATTCCAGGACCATTTAGAAGGCACTTATGCTCTCCCTCAAGGATCTTATGGTATAGTAGCATGATTGATTTTACATAATTGCTTTAAATAAATGTTCAAATCACTTGGTAGGTGATATTCAAACATAATTTTATGAAACTAAATAGACAAGAGACTGAAATAATTATAACATTAATGGATTTATAGTAAATACTCTGAATATTTTAAAATACATTCACCCATTTTGAAAGAGCACATGCAGATAAAGTGACACACAAGATCCACATGTAAGTGTTTGCTAAGAGGGGAAAATGGCAATAGAGCATGAGGACAGGAGAGGATGAAAATCAATCAAAGAAGGGCTTTGCCCAAATGGATGTAAGGGAAACGTGAGCTCTGCCATGGTATCTGAAAAAAAGAAACCCAAAAAGGTGAGGTGGGAGCTGGGCATGGTGGCTCATGCCTGTAATCCCAGCACTTTGGGATGCTGCGGCAGGCAGATCCCATGAGGTCAGGAGTTCGAGACCAGCCTGGACAACATGAAGAAACCTTGTCTCTACTAAAAATACAAATTAGCCTGGTGTGGTGGCAAGTGTCTGTAATCCCAGCTACTGGGGAGGCTGCAGTAGGAGAATTGCTTGAACCTGGGAGGCGGAGGTTGAAGTGAGCTGAGATCATGCCACTACACTCCAGCCTGGGCAACAAGAGTGAAACTCCATCTCAAAAAAAAAAAAGAAAAGAGAAAAAAGAAAGGTAAGTTAGGGCTGAAAAAAGAACTTTAGAGTCAGTGCAAAAGACAACCACCCTCCTCTAAGAGGAGCTGAAGATGACTCCCTGTATTCCCCCAACACTGCCATGAAGGAAGAGACTCCCTGATGTAGACCGAGAAGTCCAGGGACACCAAGGTAGCAATGAAGCTACTGAGCTGGAGAAGACCTTCCTGTTGATGGAGCACGGATATTAAAATTAAACAACTGGAAAATATTCTCTCCAGTCTCCTGCTGGTTCATTCATTAGGTAACTGGTCAGGTTGCTTGTAACCATCTCTTCTGTGGCTTGGCCTTTTCAGTGATTTTGGCTGGTGAGAGGCTCCTGGCTGTTCCTGCTTGGGAGGCCCCTGAGGCCAGCCTCTCAGGAGGAGTGATTCTTTACCTGCACTCTTGGGAAAATGTGTTAGCCATTCGGGGGCTGGAGAATATCCTAATCCTAGAGTCACTCAATATTTTCATTTTTTGCTTTATTGTAATATAATTTATATACTATGAATCTCACCCATTTAAAGTGTACACATCAGTGGCTTTTAGTATATTCACGGTCATGTTCAACACTAGTCACAATATATTTGAAAAACATTTTCGTCACTTCTTAACAAAACCCCCTACTCAAAATCAGAGGTCCTCATTCTTGCTCCCCACTCCCAAGCCCCATATAACCACTCACTCATGCATTGTCTGTGTCCCTGTAGATTTGCCTAGGACATTTCATAGATGTAGAATAATAGAATATATGGTCTTTGTGATTGGCTTTTTTCATTTAGCAGGATGTTTTTGAGTTTGGCTATTACTGAATATGCTTAGAAGGTAGCCCAAAAATAAGACCAGCCTATTAAACACAGGTGATGTTTCTATCCTATTGTTACTTGCTTTGTACTTTGTTCTTGTAAAATGATTTTGTTTTTCTTTGCCTCTATCCAGTCACTCTGAAAGAAGGAGAGTTTGTGTTTACCAGCAATGTCAGTATCATATGACCTTCCTTGGCCTGTGTAATTCCACTAAGTCTTAAGTACCACGGGATATCACCATAGAAAGATGAGAGAAATTGACATTGTTTAAAGTCATGTTGTATATATGGGAGATACTGATACTCCCTCTAGTTGCAAGTGAGTCAATGCTTATATTTACTCTAACTACCATTTTTATAGGTTTTATACAAAATACAAAGCTGTTTTGTTCATCATGAAAGAAATTTCTGTCAGTATAATTTGACTCTTAGTATTTCTTAAGACGTGTTATTAAAAAAATAGAACCAACAGAAGGACCTAGCATGTGAGCAGATGCAATTCTAGCCTTCCTATGGTGCGACACATCTCTGACTCACCTTCCTCTCCACCAGACCCACCCTCTTACTGTAATCACACTCAACACAACCCACATTTATTTGAGATTTTGTCACTTTCAGTTCAAATGACTGTGACCTATTTGTTGCCCTGGAACATAGTACAATACCAGGCATGTAGCAGCTTTTTAACAAATGTAAGAGGAAGAAAGAAAGGAAGGAATGAAGGAGAAAAGGAAGGAAGGAAGGAAGGCAGGAAGGAAGGAATGGAGGAAGGGAGGAAGCAAGAAAAGGGGAGGGGAGGGGGTCAAAGGAGGGAAGGGGAGATGAGAGGGAAGAAACAAAACACTCAAACGAACAAACAAACTGAGACTAGACTGTTCTCTTAGATTTACTTCTATATCAACATAAATCTCATTTTATTCATTTAGTTGTATTTATCCAGATGACTAATGAGATTTTTTCCCAGAGAAATGAGAAGCAAATTTAATACTGGATATAAAACGACTTGGTAAAATGAATGCATGCAAACCATAAAAATACATGTTTGTAGAGTTGATTCAGTCATGGCCTCCAGCTTTTCCCCAGCTACAAAGGCATTTAGGAATCAGAGCTAAATTTTTCAAAGGGGCCCAGATGCTCACTTTAAGGCACTTATGGCTTACTTACCATTCCACTGTTATATTCAATCACATGAGGATTCATAACTAGCACCTTTACGTAGAAGCTCTTTGTTTCAATGTTGAATCATGAGTGCCACGACTTTAAAATTTATGCTCTTGGAACTATGATGATGCTGCTGATCTAATTGGTTTTGCACAGAAAGTGTCAAAGTTATTTTTTAACAGCCAATGTATTAGGGTCTAACATAATAAAACAATTTGTGTGTATTTTTGTATATCTATCTATCTATATATGTATATATATACACACACACACATATAATCAACATTATTCCTATTTTTAAGAATAATGTGAAAGACTAGATAAATTAGAAACAAAACTTGATTTAATCCTAGGATCATGTGACATCATTAATATTTGTGTGAAAGTTATTATTATCCTAAATAATACATGTGTTTGGAGTTCTACTAGATGTGATGAGATAATGAGTTCCAACACTTTTTCATGCCCCATTCTGCTAATGAGAAAGTAAGCTTCAATTCCAGCTCTTATTTCTATGCACCATTTTATAATTTTGAAGTATATCAATACTTAGCTATTGGGTTCTGAAGGATAGGGAGAAATTTTAGAAGATATGTGAAAATAATAATATTTGTGGCATAATTGTTTTTAGAAAATAATCTCATATCATCAATTCACAATTATGAGAGTTTTCGTGATCAATTGACTCAAATACTTTTTGTAAATCAATATTGTTAAAAAAGAAAGCAAAAAGCTAAAAATGTGTATGAGATTTTTATTAATCACAACAAAGAGGTGAATGATAGCATTTTTTCTATATTCAAATATAAGTTTAACTAAAAATATATTGTTTAAAGTTAGGTAGGGAAAAACTACTGAAAAAGATAAACTAAGGAAATAAATATAAAATTCAACATAGCAGAATTTATTACTTCTAGTGGGACGACAGAAGTGTGGGCTTGGGCAGGAGCATGAAGAGGGTTTCAGCAATACTTTGTGTAAAGGAATGTACATGGACACACTTATACTAACATACATGTAACATATTTTTGGAAGACACATAAATAACTGGTAAGGGTGATTGCTTTAGTGGGAAGTTTTGGAAGTTAGGGTAGAAGACTTGATGTTTAGTACATATTTTTGTATTGTTTTAATATTCACATTGGAAATATGTGTTTTCAAACATTAAACAAAAATAGTAACTTAATAATCAAAGAAACTAAGAAACAGCAAATATTTTTTGAGCAACTACAAGAAATACCAAGCAGTGCTAGAGGCCATGGGGTCATAGGTATGATACTGATATGATAATAAAATAAACAATGAAGATAATATTTAAAATATGTTGAGAATTTGTTTTGTTCCAGATGTTATTCTAAGAATTTAATGCAAATAAAAAAATTACTAAAGCCCTATTAGGTAAATGGTATTATTTTTCCTATTTTAGAAATAAAGAAACTGACATTTTAGAATCATATAATTTGCCCAAGACCATACAACTGATAAATAAAAGAGCCAAGGTGCTGAACTCATGTCACATTACCCATTATGCTAGACTTCTTGCCTATGGGAGTTGAGTTGCTAGAAAGTGCCTTTTGTTACTTAAGTGCTCTGGAATCAGGCTCTTTTTCCTTCTATTTGGAAAAATGGCAGGAATCACTCCTCTTCCTGTTGTGCCCATAAGCCTTTCTCCAGTAGCTGAGAATCCAATCATAAAGCTAAGACAAAGATGGTAGAAAAAAAGTCCCCACAATACTTGGCAGACCCTATCAGAGTCAACTCCAAAAATGTCAATAAGAAGAGATGTCCACAGCCTGCAAAGGATTTGCCAATGAGATGCAGTGGTTTGGCTAAATAAGAAAATGTAGGGGCATGGGGAGGTTTCTATAGGACCAGCTTGGGAAAATAGGATGAGCAAAGGCATAGTGCACGCTGACGACAATGCACAAATCACTGTTGAAATTCATCAGCAAGATCTCCACCCTCAAAGACTGTAATTTAGTGGGGGAGATACATCATTGTAGAGCTTGATCACACTCCAGAAAACATTAGAGATGCCTTTAAAAGGTAGAAAGTTCTGGAGGCTTTACTATTACTATCAGCCTCGTATTTCAGTTGCATTTGGCTAGGAATGTCCAGGACAGGAGTGAGAAGCGAGGAGAGGAAACGGAAGGAAAGACATCAAGTGAAGGGCCAATGGCTGGCCAAGCTCCATGGCTGTGCCTACCTGCTGCGGGCTCAGCTCTTCTGCCAGCTGGTGGCATAATTTGTTGGGGGTAGTGGGGGCTACAAGTAACCCATTTGTCAGGTCACTCCAGGGCCAGGTGGAAGGAGGACAAGGGAGAGAAGAGAGTCACGCATGGCTGGTGTTGCAGTCACTGTTCTATTTGGCATGGAGCAGACCTGAATGGATGGGAGGCCTACAAGGGTGGCAAGCCCCACACACTCTTCAGTAGCTCTCTCTTTTCCCCGACCTGCCATCTGGGCAACCATCACAAAAAATCTGCCCTCTGTTCTCTAAGAACCGAAATTAACCGAGTGATTATTTCTCAGTGAGAACCTTTCCACATTTCTGATATCCTAATTTATTTGGCAGCAACACAAGAAACTATTAACATGTGCACCTCCTCACATTTTAAGAAATTCATATTTAAAGAATCGACTATAGTACTGCTTTTGACCATATAAACAGCTAGTTTTGAAAGTATGTATATTTAATCACCCTCCTTTGACTACTTCCTTGAAGCTAATATAGTCTATTGAATTCTAAATTCCTATGTAAGAACTATTTTAAAGCAATGGACCCTTGACACGATGGGGCTTTGACATGACATGTATTCTCAAATCTTCAATGCAGATCTGCATATGGAAGCATCTTATGACAAACATTCCTGAGCATTCTTAACTGGTAATTTTCAATTGCTTTAGAAAATGGCTTGGATGAGGGTTGCAGAGTGATTGACTGAAGAGGGGTCTGAACTCATAATTATCTCCCAACTAATGTGTACATTTCGGATGGTGAAGCCTCTTCACATGCTGAATTGTGATAATACATCACAAAATTGGCCATTTTGAAGAGCTGTTTTGTGAAGCTGATGAATGAAATTTCTCCACAGTGTTGCTTATACACAAGCTTCCCTCCTCCCATACGCCATGTGCACGCTTGTCTAGAAGACAGCACCCTGGCTCACTGGTGGAGAACCAGACCCCTGTATTTCCACCAAGCTGTTCTTGGGAACCAAATTAGAGGAGCTCAAAAGTGGTGGGAATGTGGTCTTAATTGTCTCTTCCATGGAGCTCAACTTGTGGTCTTTGGTTTTGTGAGTTTTCCTGTTTGTGGATGTATCTTTCTTTGTCTCTTGGGGGAAAAACTCCAAGCACTCAGAGGCTGAGATTACTGCATTTGGGATAACATGTTCTGTGCGGAAGACACGTGGGGGAGAAGAAAAGACACACACACAATACCTTTAAGGGTAAACAACCTTTATCCTAAGTATGTGGCAATACAGATATAATAAGCAAATGATATAATAAGCAAATTGCAATAGAAAGGGGAGAAGGGAAAAGATATATATATATATAGATAGATAGATAGATATAGATATATATATAGATATATATATTTATATTTACACTCACTAGACTATGGAGGATTCATCACCATACTGGGAAGCAACAGCCTGGGCTCCAGAGTCAGCCACCCATCCGTGCACAGATGAGGTGAGGTCTCAAGAAGCTTTGGCGTGGTCTGGAACCCTAGCTCCTTTTGTAACGAGTTGTTTGGCATGAGGCCCAGTCTCAAAGGCCCTTCACCACTGGGCTCAAGGAACACAAAAAGGTCAACTTGTTTTTGCGATTGTCTGTTATTTTTCAATAACTAACGTACAGGAACAGATTTCTCTGAAACAGTGCTGGATGAATGCCTCAAGGTACTTACGCAACCTGTTCCAGGACTTGGTGACCATCGTTTTTGTCCATGTTCAATCGAGTTCAAATTTAATATTTAACTTTTCCTCCACACATGTCCTGGACACTTCAATCAAAAAGATGTCAATGATCTTATATCCATTGAGACTAATGACTGCATGTAGGAAGATATATGCGACAAAGCTGAAAACTTAGCACATATATGACCAGTGGCCATGTGTTCAATTTCACTGTGAAGAAGAATAATGGGTTCGTTATAAAAAGACTGTGGTTACAGGTGCTCTCCTGTGTCGGTTTTACTGAGACTGCGCTCCTGCTAAGGAAAGCATGTGGGTACTGGAAAAAATTCAGCAGAATTCCAGTTTTTTAAAGCATTAATGAATTTGTATAAATTTTTTTTTCAAAAAATATCACAATGGATCTCTGATTCATGGTTTTGTCAAACACAATTCTTTGATGAAACAGTAGTCGTTGCTGAGTCCTTAACTGTAATGGAACACATTTCCATTCCAAGAAGTGTCCTGCAACCATCTGGTGATGAAGGTCTTGCCATATGTTTAATAGTTTACTATTTAAACTATGCATTGTCTCTGGCTCTTTTTCCTCTTCTTTCTCTTCCTTCTCTTAAACTTCTCTTTGCTTAGTTCTTTCCTTCTTTCATTCTGTCCACAATTCTTTTCTGTTTTCTTCATCAGTTTCACCAGCTTTTCCTTCCCTTCCCCCTCTGACTCCTTTTTTCCTAACCTCCTTGTCTCCCCTTCTTTCCTCACGTCTTTTCTGGCTCTTCCTCTTTCTTATCATTTTTCTTCCCCTCTCCCTTTTTTTTTTTTTTTTTTTTTTTTTTTTTTTTTTTTTTGGTCATGCTCTTGTTTCATGAATGCCTGACATGGCTTTCCTTTAGGCCCTGAACTTCAAATAACTGAGGCCACTTTTTCCTCTCAATTCATCTGAATTTCCTCTGATCTATTCAAGATGCTCACAAATCCTGAGTTTCTTTGTAGCTGCCTCCTTAAGAAATGCTGTGGAAAGGAAGACTGAAGAAAGGCACTGGGCGTTGGCAGAAGAAAACCTCTTTGTATGGGGTCTCACACCCTAATAACCACAACTTCCTTTTTTCCCCATGTTTCCTTTTCTCCTTTGTTTTTTTCACTTTCTATTTCCTGATGCTTTGTAGGATTTTTAAATCAAACACATGTTCTAAGTAATGTTGACAGAAGTAGGACTGGGAAAGAGGGAATTTTCTCTTCCCATGTCTTGGCTAAGCTCTGAGACTTTTTTTTTTTTTTTAAAGTAACAGGCCCTCTATGAGAAGAAAACTATGCTATAATTTCTGGGGACATGAATTTCTTCAGATCCTAACTGTTTTGTTAGTTAAATGCCTGGATTACATCTTGAACAGTTTAGTAAACTCAATTATTCAAAGCCAGTGGATTTTCTAATCTCTTGTGAGTCCCTTCACCTTTGTTCAAATTTCTATTTAATTAAACATTTGCTAGATGGAGTAAAATTTGGATCATTTGATTTTACTACCTATATCAGTCTTGGTATAGAGTCTATTCTGGTAAGAGATAGCTAAGAAGAATTTCTCACATGGTATTGATTACTCTGATTTATTCCAGCCAGTGCTGCTTTCCAGCACATTTCTGGGTGCAATTACAAGATTTTCATCAACAAAACTCTACGCATTTAGAGATCCAGTTACCTTCTTAATCACATGATATGCCTCCATAGGGTCTGAGATCAACCAGAGAGTATCTCTTTAGCTCTGTTGAAAGAAGTCGAGAAATATGAACGGAGTACATTTTAAAATTAATGAATGAGATGCTATATGCCAGCATTTGCAAATATTTACATCTATACATAGTATGTATACATTACCTAAACATATATATTGTTTAATGTATAATAAATATATGTACTCTCGAAAACTTCCTCTTAGTTCATAAGAAATCACCTCTTCCCAAAGCAATTAAAGCCTGCTTTTGTTTAAACTAGTTTTCGTCGCTGACATTTGAGGAAAATGTTTTTGCATGGAAAGTTGAGAATTTGTTGATTTTTCTAGTTGGTAAAAAATGTTAGTGGACACATTCGATATTAATAATTATAATATCATACACATAAACATTAAAATTATAAAATTTTATATCTAGAAGAAATATTGAAGGCAAAAAAAATTCAAAGTCAAACTTTTTATATAACCGCTGTATAATAATAAGATGCTCAGTATACCACAGCTAGAATAAATTCCTTAGCATTTTAATGTACTTTTTCAAACTAAAGATTATAGATACTTTTGAAATTATGGCAATAGAAATATGTATGGCATTTTTTTTTTTCAGCTTACCACAGAATCCTTGATTCAAAAATGCATTTAAAAATTGTTGCATGTTCTCCTAGGCACTAGTATTTCTCCCACTAAAGTATCCTCCAAGGGGTAGCCAACCTATAATTCTACCCCAAATCACTCTTTTTTTTTTTTTTTTTTTTTTTTTTTTTTTTTTGAGACGGAGTCTCGCTCTGTCGCCCAGGCTGGAGTGCAGTGGCGGGATCTCGGCTCACTGCAAGCTCCGCCTCCCGGGTTCACGCCATTCTCCCGCCTCAGCCTCCCAAGTAGCTGGGACTACAGGCGCCCGCCACTACGCCCGGCTAATTTTTTGTATTTTTAGTAGAGACGGGGTTTCACCGTTTTAGCTGGGATGGTCTCGATCTCCTGACCTCGTGATCCGCCCGCCTCGGCCTCCCAAAGTGCTGGGATTACAGGCGTGAGCCACCGCGCCCGGCCCCCAAATCACTCTTGACTCCAGTTTTCTCAGGAAGATCCTGGAGGGAACCCAAGCTTGCTCTCTTGCAGAGCTAATGTTCCTCACCAATAGTGAGTGTTCTATCAGCAGCACAGGTGCAATGAAATGAGATCCATGTCCAGTAAATACAGGAGCTTCCCTGGTTTAAAAGCTTCTGAATTCAGGGCCGGGCGCGGTGGCTCACGCCTGTGGTCCCAGCACTTTGGGAGGCCGAGGCGGGTGGATCATGAGGTCAGGAGATTGAGACCATCTTGGCTAACACGGTGAAACCCCGTCTCTACCAAAAATGCGAAAAATTAGCCGGGCGTGGTGGCATACGCCTATAGTCCCAGCTACTTGGGAGGCTGAGGCAGGAGAATCGCTTGAACCCGGGAGGCAGAGGATGCAGTGAGCCGAGATCGCACCATTGCACTCCAGCCTGGGCTACATGGCGAGACTCTGTCTCAAAAACAAAAACAAAAACAAACAAACAACCAAAAAGCTTCTGAATTCAAATTAAGGCCCTAGGCCAGGCACGGTGGCTCACGCCTGTAATCCCAGCACTTTGGGAAGCCGAGGCGGGTGGATCACCTCTAGTCTGGCCAACAGGGTGAAACCCCGTCTCTCTTAAAAATACAAAAAATTAGCCGGGCGGGGTGGCGGGCGCCTACAATCCCAGATACTCAGGAGGCTGAGGCGGGAGAATCGCTTGAACCCGGGAGGTGGAGGTTGCAGTGAGCCAAGATGGCACCATTGCAGTCTAGTCTGGGCAACAAGAGCAAACCTCCCTCTCAAAAAAAAAAAAAAAAAAAAAAAGGCCCTAGAGGAGTCAGTCCCCTCCTCTCAATTCACCTTTTCATGGGTGTAAGGATACGATGGTTATGAGTCACCAGACTCCAGAAAGTCCACAGCACAGCATCCCCATCAGGTATTCCTAGTTCACTTTTAGCTCCTTCCAGTTCAGATAAAATGTACTAATCAGTGGTCCTTTTATCCTGAGGGTTGCTTAGTAACATAAGTGACAATTTTACCTTTGTCAGGTTACCAGGGAAACTGATGCAGACAGCATAACCAAAGGTCAGCTAGGAATCACAGATCAGGTGCAGCATCCTACGGGGCCGAGGAAGCTCAGCCACAGGACAGGCTTCCTGTAGTCAGACTCAGATCACACGGCATTATGACAGACGGCGGCTGACTCCGAAACGCTGGCCTCTTTATCCTAAACGTATTGTACTGCCCAACATTAATATGAAATATTAATATAAAAAGTGACTGCCAAGACAGCACCCACATCAAAGCACAGCGGTGTGACCATGACTGCATTTTTCTGGGTTTATTGATGTGCGTGTCTTAGAAGGCAGAATCCAAGGCTTCGCTCCCTTTCAGCTAGATTACATTGCTCACCTCCCTCTGATTTATCAGTTGTCCTTTGCTCCAATAGCATTAGATCAGAATTTATTAAACGTCTTGCTTATATTAAGACATTTTTAGTATTAACAGGTATTCTCTATCTTATACAGTGCTTACCACACATATGCCAAAGTGATTTTCAATCCATTAATAAATGAAGATTTCATTAGCTGTTTCTATGAGCAAAACATGATCCTAGGCAGTTTGTGAAGGAGATCAGCTATTAGATTAAAAACCTTTTTACACAGAACATTCCATTTTCAGCTTACTGGAGAAGCTAAAACATATATTGGGGAATTAACCAAATAGAAGAGAGTATATACTAGCCACCAACAAAAAGTACTATAGGGATCTATTGGAGAGATTGTTTTGATCAACACGTATCAGTAAAGGTTTCAGGAGGGGCATGAGAGCTGAGGGAAGGCTTGCATAACGGCTCTGATTCCCTCCTGGAGTGATGCTTAGGATCTACGTAGATTTTTCACAGGGCGGAAAGGAGGTGGTGCTGTATTTCCAGATTCAACACAGAGATGAGAGGGAATTTTCTGGCTTGGAATTCAAGGCATTTTCTTTCATCTTCCTAAATAATGAGGAAGTCATCACATGTCTCAAGGTGAAATGGGAGGCACCCCCTGTCCAGAGACCCCAAGAGAATATGAAACCATTCCTTAGCTTCTCTTTTGAAGTCACAAGCTCCTTGCAACTGTCAGTGCCTTATAAAATCTCTATTCCTGTACTTATCAAACTACACCACATTCTGCTGATGTAGCCCATCTTCATGTCCATCACCCAGCACCGTGCCTCTCACAAATTAGTTGTTTAATGCACATTTGGTATTACCAAAAATAACAAGATACAAGTTCAGTGCATGCTGCCTCTCTAAGCACAAATCTATGGATCAAATTTTGTGTCAGGCAAGGCTAAGTTTTCTCAAAATGCTCAGAGTAAGTAGGATGACAATGCTTTCCGGTTTTCTAGAGAGAGTTGCAATTTATGCCTGTTTCTCTGCAAAATAAATAATAGTAATCCTTTTCACCTTAAAGTTGTCACAGTTTAGATGATGAATTATGATATGGTCATCCTAAATAGAAGGCTCAATCTATGATAAAATGTGTTGTAGATCTTTCTTTATTCTCCTACCCTGACACAAAGATAACCTGTTTAACATGTTAGTATAATTCTTCCCTTTTGGAAAATGCATTTGAAAATATCTGGGGCCGCAATTTATTCACAAGTCTCATATAGTCATTTTCTTTTTATGTGAAATATTTTCTTTTCCTATAAAAGGAACAAGGGCCCCAGTGGTGTTCTGAACATGGTCTGTATGGTCTGACATATCAGAGCATCTCTACCCAACATTGCCTGCCCCGACCTGAAGTTGGTATCTTAAAAAGCCATAACAGGATTATTTCCATCATGAAAATGGGCAAACGCTACAAATCAGACTTTGATTTTGAGAGTCAGTTATGAAACACCATATTAACACTGATAAGCTGATAATAGGCCATTTAAAAAATTGATAAGTACAAAAAAGAACGCAAAAATTACCTATAATCTTACCATTTGGGGATTTCCCCTATAAACATTTGGATGTTTCTCCTCTTCTCTTTTATATGCTAACACACACAGACACCCACATCATAACACACAGTCATTATAAAGTAATGAGATTTGTTTTGAACAGATGTTACAAAATATAGCCATGTAGATGGGTATCATCTTTTGAAATAATCATCTGATGAGTCAGAATGTTTCTTCTAGGAATGATTCCATTGCTCTAAACACTTTTGCATATCCTCTGTCATGACTGTCAGAGAGCCAGTTTAAGACACCCACTAGAAAATCGCATCTGATTTTCTTAAGCCTAAATTAGAATTCCCAGATTTGTCATTTAATTTATACATAAAGCTTGACTCTAAAAGAAATTTCTTCTTTCCAAATATAGCTATAAAATGAAGATTGAAACTATTCAAAACAATGTTTTCCAAACCCTGAAGACAGCTTTGAAACAAAGAAGGCATGGCGTGCGCTGTCATGGAGTGGGGCTGGGAGGCAGGATCTCTGCGTTACGTGCAGGGCCTACAAGGTGTGTATTTTGAAACATATTTATTTGGATGTAAAAGTTCTATTATGAACTTTAAAAATCGATCACATTATTTTACAAGTTCACCTTCTGTCTGAATATATGTATGTGTAAACAGTTGCACATTTTAAGACAGAATGTTAACCATGATTTAAATATTTAATGCAATTCAAGCTATGTTTTACGCATTTTAAGTTGAGTTTGATAAAACTAAAATGCATTTTTCTAAGCCTTTTTCTCCATAATCCTTAATCCCACGTGCATTTTAAAGGAAATGAATTCCGTGTGTTTCTTATTCCATACATTTAACTCGTCAAACAATGTTTTGTAAGGACGCTTTGATATCTAAGAAGCCCTTTGAGTCTTTTTATGAGACTTTTTAAGCCTTTCTCCTCAGAAACAGGAAGTCATGTTTGGCCACGACCAAAAGAACTTGCATACCAAATGGTTTAAGCTCAATTTGAAAAGGCCACACCACTAGGCTGGGATGGGCTGTCAACGTGGCAACACATGTTCTCCAGGCCCAGAGAAAAAGGAGGTCAGGTTTTGATCTACTTAGAGGCCATGAATTAAAAGGCATCTCTGTAACAGGTTGGAGTTGCTTAGAAAGTTTAAGAAATGGTAAGATTGCTTTAAAAAAAGTCATATTTCTAAATTCCTAGACTGTAATTTGCAGAACTTTTATTTATTTATTTATGTGTGTTTTATAAAAAAAAAAAAAATGACACGTCGAGTATGAGGAGAGAGCCTACACATGGTGCTTTTGCTGACATCTGACTGCAGTTAGGCCAACTGCATAATTTGGTATTTCTGATCCTTTTTCTCCCCACACACTGCTTTCAACTTTCTGGTTTTCTGCTGTAATCATGATCCAGCAACTGATAGGGGTAAATTCTTCAGGGAATTATTCTTCAAATCCACAGAGGATTCCTGCTGCTCATTTTAATAGGGACGTCTGTGCCTTAACGTTAGGATGTCCTGCTAGTTGCTGGCTCTATAAGGATGACATCGGATGCTGGGAAATCTTGTAGAAGTGTGTACAAAGAACATAAATTCAGGAAAAATAGTGTCATGTAAGTCTAAGCCACCCTGAAACATAAATTAGATGTCTTTTCATGTTTGATGTGAAAGTATATGCTGACATTCTTAGAGGATGAGAGATTTATAACATAATCTTATGTCCAGTGTAATATTAAATAATAAATTAGTTTTAAAAAGTAACACTTACGCAATTTTATTCTCAGAGTTGTATATGAAGCCAGAGAAAAATACTATATTATTTAATAAGCAGAAAAGCCCATTTGAGGTTAGAAAAAAAATCTGGAGGATTCCTATATCATATTTATATTGAAAAATATTTTTAAAAGATTAGTTTTTCTTCCTTTTTTTTTCTACATGACCACCACCATAATTCCTATAGTACTGAGAGGGCGGCATCAGCAAATCTGCTCTTCCCCCATGCTCCCTCTCCGAATAGTCGCAATGGCCACAGGAGTCATTAATCATAGTGGCTCATGCTTGGATATTTTCCAAATGCTTTCAGGTCTATTATCTCATTTGACCCTCATAAAAACTTCTAAGTGTAGATAAAACAGGTATTACTATTGCTATTTGACAAGAAGAAAACCAGTCACAGGGAAGTTAAGAAACTGTCTTAAAAGTAATAAAGTTAATTAATGGTAAAAAGGAAGATGCCTATATGGAGTATTGGTGCCATCCTAGGACCTGTACTTGATTCCTTTAAAATGACCCCACAGGGAAGGCACTGCCCACCTGAGATGAGGAGGCTGGGCTTGGAGACCCCAGGTAACTTGGCAGAGGCTAAACCCCTAGGGAGGGTCTGGCGCCACGGAGCCCCAGGCTGACCTGACCCCACAGCTCCTCAGCACAGTTTCCACTTGTACCCAAGAATAAACCCTCCTCTCCTGACCTGTGCTTCCTCCTCTGGCTCCCTTTCAGCCACACCTGGGTGCTCCTCCCTCCCCAGCATTTCAGGGCAGCCTCACTGTGAGGTGGCAGAATGCGTATTTAAAATGGAATCCAACCATGTGTCAAAACAATTACTTCTATTCAGTCAATTCGTTCTAAATGAAACCAAAAATATAGTATACTTCGTGAAACAATGTAAACTGCTTAAAAATGTATCATCAGCTGAACAATGTATAAAGGAGAACTAAATTTATAAAGAATAAAATAGACCCACAGTCTTTTACAGGAGACAGCAGGTGCTGTGGGAAGGCTCAGGCTTGGAGGCGCACAGGCAGCTTTGGATTCTCCAGACAGCCACCTCCTAGACGCATGTTACAGGACAAATCACCTGCCTAATTTTGCTTAAGTAGAAAATTGGAATTAATAATAACAATAAAAACACTTCTTGGGGTTTTGGAGCCCATTGAGAGACTACTAAGTTTCTGATAAAAAGAGAGAATTTAAAATGATTGTTATTAGTAGGTTTTTTTCCCAAGTGAACCTGAAATGAATGGGTACTTTAGTATTTTATTTTCATTTCAAAATAAGACAAGAGAAAAAGTATGAGAGTGTGTAAAAAAGTCAGTCATGCATTTTAAGGAGTTAACACAGATGATAGATGAACACAATGTCATCAGCCTTCATCACAAAGTGACCATAAAATATATATTTAGGAAAATGTAAAAGTAGGGTCTATCAAAGCATTTTCCACCATCATCTATTCAGGACCTCTTCTGCTGTTAAGTAGAAGTGAGAAAAGAACAGTTACAATGGCAATAAATAATGTCATATAGTTCTGCCTTTTAGAGACCTGAGGAAGCAGGTAATTTAGGATTAACATGTACAGAAAATAAGACTCCTCTTTCTAGTAAGAACAAAGAGACACATCCCAAAGTCTGAAACAAACAAATGAAAACAAAAGTAAAGGAAAAAACACAAACTGAAAACATTCAGAAAGGTCAGTATACATGGGAGGTAAGTCTTAACTTTGGATTATTTTTCTTAAGAAAAAAGAAAAAAAAGCCTTTGTTTTTAATACACTCACTAAGAGTTGTACAGTGAAAATTTTGTGGAATTATTTTAAAGAAAAGGCAAGCTCAATTGCTTTGAAATGGGTGTTTCTGCCAAGCTGTGTTTATTCATGCAATCAGCATTTGTTGTAGCCCTACTAGATGTGAGGGCCTGTACTGCACAATAGCATGAGGGGAGGGAAGTAAGGAATTAGAACCACTCTCCCGGCAAGCATCAGAGATAGACACACTAGCAGCTGGCTCAAATACAGTGTAATAAGTAGCCTAATGAAGGTAAATTTTAAGTGCTCTGGGACTCAAAGGTGGTGACATTTGAGCTGAATCTTAAGTAGAAAGCACAAGCTTCTCTGGTTTAGAAAAAGGAAAGAGTATATCAGAAAGAATCATGTGTATATAGACATGGAGGTGGGAGACAGCATAGCATGGCTTATTGACAAAATAAAAAATATTTTGCTATTATTAAAAACAGGAAATCTAATGAAGAAACACGTTAAAGACAAAATTATTCAGACACGTTAAAATGATAAGGAAAACTTTATTCAAGACTATTGCAATAAGGGAGAGAGATTGAACTGAACTCCAAATTCAGCAAAACAGCTGGAGATTTACATACAAGGGGCAGAGCAGAGAGGTTCTTTCTATACTGGCTTAACAGGATTCTTGCTAAAGAAAGACCAAGAACTTAGACATCAAAGATGAGAAGTAAAGAACTTGATTAGACATCAGGGTGGGGGATAACTTAGCAGAGTTGTTTGCTAAGACCCAGCTGGGCTGGCCAAAGACAGTTTAGGAGCCACGGTCAAGGCCTAGTGGAGAAGAGGGCTTGAAGGAGCCTGACTGCAGTATGGCCAACAGGAAAGCCTTTGTCAAGCAGCAAGATCTGAGCTTTGATGGAAAAGAGGTCTGAGGCTAGCTTATGAGTAGCTGTGCATGCCACAATGAGAGACTGGATTTTATCATATGAGAAGAGAGAAGCCATTGTAACATTTTGTATTTTAGGAACATATTTTTAGAAATTCTTTCCATGTATTTAAAATAGTTTTCTTTGCAGTGATATTTAGAAAAGGAAGCATTTACCAAAGACGTGTCCCTAATACATCTATTTGAAACCATTAACTTTCTAAATAGCAGTCAAGCCCTTCCTATACATGAGGTAGGAGGCCCAAGAAAAATGAGTTCGAAACCTTTCCTTCAAGAAAGTCACAGTCTATTTCCCCATTGTTCTGAAATCCCAATACAAATGAAATTAAAATGAAATCCACATGGGAATGGTCGATTGAAAATGCAGAACCAGTTTGAAAGGTTGTTAAAAATTTATCCAGTAACTCACAACTTACAGAGCCAGAGTCCACCAGTGGGCTGTGGAGCTTTTAACTTGCCTTGGTTGCTTTCCTCTTGCCACCTCCTCTTTTAGAAGAAGACAGAAACTCTTCTCTGATCCATAAGGCTTTCCCTCTTAATGCTACCTATGCCACAGTGTGGCTTTAACACTATGGATTTTAGGGACAGAAGAGAGGTGGATGCCTGTAAGTCCATTAGGAAGACCATATTAAATAAATCATCTTATTCAAACTGAGGCAATGGTGTAACCAACGAAGACAGGCCATGCCTAAATGCGCAAAGATGTACCTTTGGTAGCCACGTTGAAACTTATTCAGTTATTAGAGACAGAATATATTGGGCTATGTTGAATGAAAATACATATTTACATAAATTTGGTATTGACTTTTTTTTATTTCCACTACCAGCTCTGCGTCAGTCCCAGCTGTATGACTTACAGTTCATCATTATTTCTAAAATTAACTTTTTTTATCTGTAAAATGAAGATAATAACTGGACTGAATTTGTGAGTTTGCTGTGATTAAATAGATAATGTTTCTAAAACCTCTAATGCTTTGCTCATGATAGGCAGTCAACACATGTCCTTTCCTCTGGGATGGAGTTGAGTTAGATATTAATCTTTTTACTCATTTATTTATTTCCTAGGAATTACATTAAAAGACTAGAAACCATCTCTTTGCTTTTCTGACAGGAGCACAGTTCTCTGGTGTTCAGAGCTGGTAAGGCCTTCTCAGAATCCTGGGGGTGAAGCAACTACTCCACCTTAGAACCACTCTCTTTCCCAGCTCTTGCACAATGTGTACCCTCTCTAGACAACAGGAAAAAGCCTCATGACAACCAAAAAAATGGTTTCAAAACAGAATAAAAATTAATGCATATGAGTGTGAAGAGGAACACGGTCTGCCCAACACATAATTGAAGAGTGTAAACTGTAACAAGTAAATGCAGCATTTACTGTATGGATATGAAAAATATGGGCCACACTTTCCATCCATTTTATTTGTGAGGTCTCCTTGAAACGGCCTATAAAACCTGGGAACCTGGGCAGCTTTCTCTAGGGGACCCATAAACTGCAGCAGCTGATACTGGTAAAATAGGTTATATGGAACCTTAGATTTGGCCAGTATTTATTGCCTGTGTAATGTACAGAAACAGTAAAACAGAAAAGCACACGTTTCCATCTGTGCCACATTATAATGCCACGCATGAGGAGACGAGCCATTTTTCATTTAAAATGGTGGCAGTCCTACAGACCTTCTTCCTTTGATATCCTACGCTACCATGCGTGATATAGCATAAACAGGCCGCCTATAAATATGAATTTTTACAGTTCTGAAAGCCGAAACATTCCAGCCTTCATGACGTCACCAAACATACCTTCCAAAATGTGAGCTAGGCCCAAGTGCTCCCCTTCTTCTATCTCTCTCTCTCTCTCTTTTTCTTTCCGATTCTTAAGCTGATTCGTGGTGTTTTTCTTTTTTAGGCACAAAACAGCTACAACGAATGTCTCTTCATAGACGCCTCCAGAGTGCACAGTTCCCCATGATATTTAAAGTGGATGACAAATCACACTCTCGAATAGTGCGGTGGGGGACGCCATGGCCATGCAAGAGTCAGGTCTTCATTTTATATCCCAAAGCTCCGCCAAGTCATTGAGATCTCAGATTCCCTTCAAGCATCAGCGAAGCTGATAGGAAAGGAACCCTACCCCACCTTATCTCCTGCCTTTCGAAAGGTGAGGGAGCAGGTTAAAGCAGATTGCTCTCCATTGTTAAGAGCGATTTTAACAGCTTTTTTGTTGTGGTTGTTTAGCAAGCCTGGAGGCTAGGAGGAATTTTTTGAGCTTTGTTTTTCCATGTGGGACTTTTCAAGAAGTCAAGAGAAAACGAGAGTAAGTAAAGACAAATAAACAAATAAGCCAAAGGAAAAAAAAAAAAAACCATCAATTTCAAGTCGCCAAGGTGAGGCAGGGGGATTGGGGGTGGGAGAAGACTGTTGTCTAACCTGTCCTTTCGCCTACATTTTTCAGTGCTTGTTTTGCTTTCTTTCTTTCTTCCTTTTTTTTAGACCAGAGATTTCCATTTTCCTTTGGTTAAGCTTCTGATGGTTCCTAAAGAAAGTTATTAGACTTGAGCTGGAAATTTCCTTGGAGTTCACCTCTTACATGAAGGCATACAAAGGTTAAATTTGCCCAATAACACACAGGCAGGAGTAGCAGAGCTACTGAATTTTTCAGCACAAGTGAGAAAGGAAAAGAGGCTCTGAAATCAGTTTAAATGTGCAATTTCAGGGAAGTTATTTAAATTATCTGAGTTTCACGTTCCTGACCCACAGAGTGCAAGGTTGTCATGAGGATAAATATGACATCTTTATCTGCATGCTCTATGTTGACTAGGTCTTAGGATAGTTTTATAGCTAAAAAAAATCAACTTTTTGAAACAGTTCAGGTAGTTTCACTTTTCTCCGTTGAAATCCAAGGTCACTGTTGGTGCAGACTGTCCCTTTATTCTGAGAGGTGTGACTTGGCTGGGCTATAGCCTAACCATCCTTCTGTGGAAAACTTTTTTTTCTTTTCAATGTTTGTGGGTACATTGTAGATGTATACATTTATGAAGTACATGAGATATTTTGATACAGGCATGCAATGTGTTATAATCACATCAGAGTAAATGGGGTATCCATCACCTCACGCATTTATACTTTGTGTTACACACAACCCAATTATGCTTTTAGTTATTTTAAAGTGTGCAATTAAATTATTTTAACTATAAGAACCCTGTTGTGCTATCAAATACGAGGTTTTGTTTTGTTTGGTTTGGTTTGGTTTGCTTGGTTTGGTTTTTTTGTATCCATTAACCATCCCCACATCTTCCTGCATTGCTCTCCCATTAACCTTCTCAGCCTGTGGTAACCATCTTTCTACTTTCTACCTCGTCAATTCAATTGCTTTAATGTTTAGCTCCCACAAATAAGTGAAAACATGTGAAGTTTGTATTTCTGTGCCTGCCTCAGTTCATTTAACATAATGATATCCAGTTCCATCCATGTAGTTGCAAATGACAGGATCTCATGCTTTTTTATGGCTGAATAGTACTCCATTGTGTATATGTATCACATTTTCTTTATCCATTCATTAGTTAATACACACTTAGGTTGCTTCCAAATCTTGGCTGTTGTGAATAATGCTGAAATAAACATGTGAGTGTAGATGTCTCTTCAATATACTGATTTCCTCTTTTTGAGGGGATATATATGTATACACATACACATTTGTATACATATATACATATACATATACACATATACACACACACATATATATCATGGAGTGGGATTGCTGGATTGTATCATAGCTCTATTTTAAATTTTTTGAGGGACCTCCAAACTATTTTCCATAGTGGTTGTACTAATTTACATTCCCACCAACAGTGTAAACTCTTTTTTCTTGACCTGTTGTCATTTGTGTGATCCTGAAAGCCCAAGTCCTGTGCAAGCTACTCTGGAACTCAGAACAAGGTGACTTGCTTGTGAACACTAAAAAAAGTGAAATTTACAAGTGGCAAGATCATGGAGAAGTACAGGAATATACCACCGACAGCTGAAGCGGGGTGCAGCCCAAATTGCTTGGGAGGAGAAGGCAGCCATGGCCTGCAACTCTGCAGGGTCCCACAGGGACCAGCAGCACCAACACAGCAGGCAGCAAGAGGAGGGTTTAGTGCAGAAGGAATGGGGCAAATCACCTGCCGGAAGGACACCAGGATAGACACGCCCAGATGCAGAGAGCTGGATGCAGAACCCAACAGAAGTCAGGAAAGGAGAAGTGCAGTTTCTCTTAGGGGTCTGCCAGGATAGTCCAATAATCTTACCTGAAGATGAGAATAAATAAAAAATGTAGCCATTTCTAGGCTTCATTTTGTTTAGAGCACATAATTTAATTACATGCATGAAAGTTAGAGATTTTTCGGAAGAGTTTTTTTTTTCCTTAGCTTGTTACACATGTCAGGGACTAACTATATACGCATCATATGAAAATACCCCACGTATTTTAAGAACCGCTAAACATAAGAAAAATGTCTAGCTAGCATCAGTGGCGATTACACAGGTGATCAAACCTATATCCCAGTCTTTAGCCAACTGAAACTTGTTGATTTAAGTTGGAGGTTTTTGACAGTGGCTCATTTAAATCCTACCACTTTGTAACTGAATGTCTTTAGTGAATTCCTTAGATTTATTATAATGCAAGCTCCTCAACTATGAAATTGGAGATTGATAAGAATACTTATAGGACTTTTTGAGAATTAGATAATTTTTGGCCGGGCATGGTGGCTCATGCCTGTAATTCCAGCACTTTGGGAGGATGAGGCGGGTGAATCACCTGAGGTCAGGAGCTCGAGACCAGCCTGGCCGTCTCTATTAAAAATACAAAAATTAGCTGGGCATGGTGATGGGTGCCTGTAAACCTAGCTATTCAGGAGGCTGAGCCAGGGGAATGACATGAACCAGGGAGATGGAAGTTGCAGTGAGCCCAGATTGCGCCACTGCACTCCAGCCTCGGCGCAGAGTGAGACTCCGTCTCAAAAAAAAAAAAAAAAAATTTAGTTATTAAGAATAATTAAATCATGTAAATAAATGCTAAATCAGTGCATGCACACAATAAGTACAACTTTGTGTAAGAAAAAGCTGTTCATTACTACACATTTTGAATCATTCCTGGTATCAAGTAAAGATATTATATTTCAGCAGCAGTGGGAAGACTAGACAAAGTCTCAGGTCTACTGGAATCTCAGGCCTCAGGTCCTTTGCCAGAGCTGCTTGGAAAGTCTTTCTGGTGTTTCCCTCTTGGGTACACCTACCTGCCCCTCAAGAATTAGCTAAGCCAGGCATCATGGCTCTTGCCCGTAAGCCCAGCACTTTGGGAGGCAGAGGGGAAAAAATTGCTTGAGGCCAGGAGTCCAAGGTCAGGCTGACCAAAACAGTGAGACCCCGATCTCTACAAAAAAATAAGAAATTAGCCAGGCATGGTGGCTCACACCTGTAGTCCCAACTACTGAGTCGACTGAGGCAGAAGGACCACTTGAGTCAAGGAGTTTGAGGCTGCAGTAAGCTAGGATCACACCACTGCACTTCAGCCTAGGTAAGAGTGAGACCCGGTCTCTTAAAAAATTAAATTAAATTAATTTACAAATAAATAATAAAATAGAATAAAACTAACTGAGGGGTTTTCTCCCAGGACGTGAAAAAGATCTTTCCTTGACACCTTTGGTACTGCTGACTGAGCTCACTACACTGAATAGCATCTTAATTCATTTTTCCCTGTAGATTGCAATTTTGTAAACAAAAGAGATCGAGTCTTCTTTGTTGTATGTATCACAACATCTGTCACAGGCTGGCCCAAAGTGCCCAATAATATTTTTTGGATGAGTGAAGCTCAGGGCCATAGCTGTATTGAAAAGCTAAAGGAATCTGTGGGGTTTTTTGTATGTTTGTGTGTGTATGTGTGTGTGTTATACTGTTTAGAAGATTTTGTGTTCCTGCATTTCTGTATGTAATTGTTTGCTTTTTGTTGTTTTGTTCAAATTTTTTTTTTTAGAAAAGATGCCAGCAAAATCATGTTTGTTGCCGTTTTGTGCAATCTGTGTGCTCCTTAGTGGTTCTGCTAGCGTTCTTGTGCTTAGTGATGCTCAAGATGTGTGGATGTTTTCATAATGCATGGGTTTATTGCCTGACATGTTCATACAGAATAAGTAATTAAATTCTAATAAACTAAGGAAAGAAATCTTTTCCTCCAGCATTTGTGCCTCCTGGAGAATCATGTGCATACGCAGCTTCAATTTGATTAAAATACCATTTCAGGTTGGGCGTGGTGGCTCACGCCTGTAATCCCAGCACTTTGGGAGGCCAAGGTGGATGGATCACTTGAGACCAGGAATTCGAGACCAGCCTGGGCAACATGTTGAAACCCCGTCTCTACTAAAAATACAAAAATTAACCGGGCATGGTGGTGCTCACCTGTGGTCCCAGCTACTCGGGAGGCTGAGGCAGGAGAATTGCTTGAACCAGGGAGGCGGAGGTTGCAGTGAGCCAAGATTGCACCACTCCACTCCAGCCTGGGCAACAGAGTGAGATTCTATCAAAAAATATATGTGGAATTTCATCCACTCATCAAAATTCATATGAGTCTGTTATATATACACTATAGTAGAGTGTGAGGAGTCAAAGGTTGAGATACCTGATAGCCACCAACTCCAGCAGGAACATAGACTGGTAAGAACTAAAGAATAACAGATGGGTAAGTGTAGAAACAGCAAGTTTAAACAAGAGGGGACTGGTCACTGCTGACTTGGGTGGACAGGGTGGCAAGGACCCAGGGAATGAATCATGGGGTTTGCGATGATTAGGATATTTTTAAAGGTCAAAATTTTGTTAGATGGACAAATAAACGGGCAACATAGGCTAAGAGAATCACATGAGTAAAAGCTCTGAAGCACAGGGTGTTAGGAAACTGTGACTCCGTCAGCCATGCTGGAGCACACGGGATGTGGGAGATGAGGCTGATACCTATTAGGGGTGAAGCCACCCACGGCCCTGTGCTGTGAGGAGGAGTTTGAATATGATTTTCAATAAGAAGGTTTGTGATGGGAAATTCTAAGTGATGAAATGATGCAATCAATTTTCTATTGTAGAAATACCCTAGCTGTAGGCTTGGGGAAACATTGAAGTCTGGAGACCAGCAGAAAAGCATCAAGCTATCACAAGCGACAAAAATTAAGAGCTTTACCGAGATGAATAAAATCTCTGAGCTTTAACATGCCTCTATAAACATTCCATGACTGCAATAGTCTTTTCTTCAGGATCTAAATAACAGTAAATAGTCCAATAACCAACATTTCCCGTAAACATGGACAGTGGCAGTTAGAGTGTTAACCCTTTGCTCAACAAACTCTGCAATTAGCCTCCGAGTTAAATCATATAAAATTTACTTAAATTTTGGTTTAAGGATGAAACACATTCTATCATGGCCTAATTATTGAAATAGGTTAGTTTTGTGATTCCCTGTAGGTAGTTTATTTCTGTTTCGGTTACATTTTGATATTTCGGGGAATTGTACAGATAGTTCTGAGGGCGAGCTCCGTACAAATGTTGCATAATAAATCACTTTTATGTTGGCATAATAGGTTTTTTCATAATGTTATAGACAAGATCTGCTCCAGGCCTGCCACATGTCTAATAGCTATTTTAATAAAACATGCTTTTTCAGTTAGCGGATTCTTGGCTAAACTGCAAAGAGGAAATGTTGTCCACGTAGCAGTGGATATGAAATGGTTAAACAAGAACACCCGGAGCTACGATTGCGAGTGAGAAGGTTTCATGGTGCTAAGCGGCATGCACTGTGAGGCCGATGGTACTGCCTCCTGAGAACACCTTTCTCAGCTGTGGTAAAAACATCTTTAAGTGAAGCCATTGATAAGTATTTGGTGTTTAAAATGAACTTTACACGTGTGCATAAAAAGACACCTGGTTTTAGGGCCCTGCCACTAAGATGAAACTTGCACCATGTAGCAGCTGGATTACTTTTTGCTGCAAATAACACAAAGTTCAACTCAAATTGGCATGAATAATTTGAGAATTAATTTATGTCCTCTGATAGGAAATATAAAGGTTGTACAGATTCCAGGTTTTCTAAGTCAGGGTACAACAGAATCATCAGGAACCTAGACTGCTTTCATTCATCACTGGGTACCCATGGCCTCAGTTTACCACGGAGACTTGTTCCTTTCAAAATACTCAGATGTCTCTTAGACCCAATCAAGCAGGGTGCTTCCTGATTCATGTATAACAGGAGACAAAGAAGATAATTTAACTTTCTTCATCATTTTGGACCAGTTACCCAATTGGACAACGATCTTGCTTTTACCAGAAATAGTTAGAAGTATATACTGAGTGGCTTAGATGTGTCTCCATCAACTTCTGGCACTGGGGTGAGATTGGTTTAAAAACAATCATATGGTTTGGGGAGGTGAATATTGGATACTGGAATAAAATTGCAGTTCTGTTTGTAAGGATGAAAGACAAGATGCTGAGTAGATTTCATATCGGGACCACAACACACTGTAGAGCATTGCAGGCCGCACTTTCAAGTATCAACAGGATATGGAGCTCTCATTAGGAGGAGTCTAGCATCCAAAGTGGACAGTATTATTTCCTGGCTACCCTGGCCATCAGTGAGGAGGCTCAGTGCATGCCGGTGGAGCCCTACTTCACGGCGCTCATGGTCGTGTATTTACGCAGAATTGAGTTAAGTTGTAAAATAGCTCTCACTTCACAGGCTGGATTCAATATTTTCAAATTTTGTAAAATCTGGATGTAAAGAGCTCTGTATATATTAGTTTAGATGGATACCTGGAATAGGTGGGTTCTGTCTAAATCCTATGGTCAAAATTCTGGTGATCAGCATGGAAAAAAAAGCAGAGAAACAGAACTTCTTATGGAAGTTTTGAAAATTCTAGGTGTGCTACATTTTATAAACACATACACAGAAAAAGTATGGTAGACGCAGGTACAAATAGACCTGTCACTTCACAAGTCATTTCCCCATTTTTACAATGCCACCTAACAAACACCTGCAATTCATTTCTGTCTACATTGAATCAGTTGTCCAGAGTTTTCAAACAATGGCATTTGGAGTATCCAATATGGCACCAGCTATGGCAACATTCTCCTCGAAGCACCAACTCAGTTAAATTTTGCCTTAGGAAAACCAACTTTTCAATATGTTACTAGGAATATGTATACTCCAAAATAAAACTGACCTATAATTTTAGACTCTGGAAAAATTAGGGTATACTCCTCTTGCTTCATAAGATCTGTTAGATACCTTTTCTTGTTTTCAATGACACAAGATTTTTATGGCAACACACTCCAAGGGCAGTTTGCCCTTCGAGATTTTTGCCACCTCTTTGTTTCTTGTTAAATGAATACTAATCAATGTCAGAGAGTACTTGTGCTACTCCTGTTCTCTGCTTGAATATGGAAATACAATTATCCCAATGGTACAGGATCCCAGGCCTCTTCAAATCGTGAGGTCTCCAGAGTTTGATAACGCAGGAAAATGTGCAAATTTAGAGCTGGGCTCTCAAAGAACAAATAATCAACTGTTTCCAAGGGAAGCATTGTTGTGATTTTGTCTCTTTTCTTCAGAGCAGAAACTCTGGGCCAATGGCAACTTCCAATCCTCATCTCACTCCTCACAATTGAGCAGCATAATGTCTACTGTTTCTTTTCTCTTATCCCACTCTATGAAGCCTTGTTCTAAAATTGCTAGGAATTACAAGACAGTGAGAGTAGCTCATTAAGCCTGGGACCTCAGAATGTGGGATTCTGTGGGACTGCATGGGGTATACAGGTTCACAATGAAAATCACCTGCTTGCCGGCAAGGAGACATTGAGTGCTTCTTAGTTTGAGGTCTAAGAACTGAGTTTCAGTTCCAGCTCAGCCTCTCCCTCATTCAATGACACCGCCAGGCACTGCTCCTCTCTGAGCCTCAGTTTTCTTATCTGCATTTTGAAAATATAAATATGACCCTCATAAGGTTAGTTTTACAATTTAAATAAAATGATGAACACAAAGTTCTGTTATCAGCATTGAGGCCACACCTACCATAACATTTTATATATTTTTCTATCATTTTTAAAACTAACCAGGGAAAAGACTACTATAGCGCTTACGATGTAAGGCAGTCATAATTTGGGAATGACAGAATATTTGCTGATTTTTACGTTAATTTTAGAATCTATTTGGTATCTCGATTTATATAACATATAGAGATCTAAAAATTGAAATTATCTCCAGTAATCAATTATTTTACTCCATTACTGACCTTTATGAAGTTACATTTTCTCTCCTATACTCACCATGCCCTTGGTTATCTTTCCAACTCTGTTTTCTACCAATAAGTGCAGTTATTTAAAAAGAAAGACCAGCCGGGCGCCGTGGCTTACGCCTGTAATCCCAGCACTTTGGGAGGCCGAGGCGGGCGGATCACAAGGTCAGGAGATTGAGACCATCCTGGCTAACACAGTGAAACCCCGTCTGTACTAAAAAATACAAGAAATTAGCCGGGTGTGGTGGCGGGCGCCTGTAGTCCCAGCTACTCCGGAGGCTGAGGCAGGAGAATGGCGTGAACTGGGGAGGCAGAGCTTGCAGTGAGCCGAGATCGCGCCACTGCACTCCAGCCTGGTGACAGAGCAAGACTCCGTCTCAAAAAATACCAAAATAATAAAATGAAAAAAGTGCTGTGATCCCAAATACAGACAATCCTGGATTTACAATGGTTTGACTTTTAGATGGTATGAAAACCATATGCATTCAATAGAAACTCTTCTTTGTGTACTCATACAGAAATTTATATCATTCTGTTTTTGTACCATTCTGTTTTTTACTTTCAGTACAGTATTCAATAAATAACATGAGATATTCAACACTTTATTATAAAATAGTCCTTGTGTTGGATTATTTCACTCAACCGTAGGCTAATTTAAGTGATTTGAGCACATTTAATGTGAACTAGGCCATGCTATGATTGTTAGGTGTATTAAAAGTTAGATATATTAAATGCATTTTCAACTTATGATATTTTCAATGCATGGCAGGTTCATCAGGACATAACCCCATAATATGCCAAGTGGCATCTGTATTTACTGTGTCTTATGCAGAAAAGTAATGTTTTATGTCATTTTAACAAGGTTTTTTCTTCTGTACTAAAAATTCTACCCAAGTAAAATAAAAATGTCCCTGTATAATCAAGCTCTTTCTGACACCAACCTAATAAATTTGAACCTCAGGTAGAGTAACAGTGTTATGATGGAGAGTGTTTAATAAATAAATTTGAGGATTACTGGAATATTCAGAAAATGGCCAATGGCAGAGTGAAAAAGTAACAACTTAAAAATAAAACAAGACAGAGAAAGAGAAACAGAGAGCAAGCAAACAAGCAATAATTTTTAAAAAAAATACCACAGAAAATATTTTTCATGAGAGGTCAAAGAAAATCAGAAGGTGTTTTTCCGATAAGGAACATCAGCCTCACAGCTATGCCAACCCCACTTCTCCAGAACCCAAGTAGAACAACCAGGGTGCTAAGAAGAGCACCACCCAGCCTTGTCTTCACTATGTGCAGGAGCTTTACAGTTGCCCCAGGTCAAAATCTATGTCCCACCAAGGCATGGATAGCAGATAATTGGAGCTCTGCCGACAAAGAAGACTGCTTTTCTTCCAGTGACTCAAGATTCAGATTTTTCTGTGAACAGCAGCTCAAGACTGGAGTTACATTGAGAAAATACTAGTAAGGGCTGAAGATAAATTATATTACTATTGGGGGTTTTATTTCTCAATGTCTTAATCTAATTGTTTATTCAAGTTAAAGTGAGACATACAATTGATTCAGGGACATGTTTAAATTGATTTAGTGGAAGTCAATTTCTTATTTATTTATTTATTTATTTATTTTGAGACGGAGTCTCGCTCTCTCACCCAGGCTGGAGTGCAAGGGTGCGATCTCGGCTCACTGCAACCTCCGCCTCCCAGGTTCAAGCAATTCTCCTGCCTCAGCCTCCCAAGTAGCTGGAATTACAGGTGCATGCCACCACGCCTGGCTAATTTTTTGTATTTTTAGTAGAGACAGGCTTTCACTGTTTTAGGCAGGATGGTCTCGATCTCCTGACCTCGTGATCTGCCCACCTTGGCCTCCCAAAGTGCTGGAATTACATGTGTGAGCCATCACGCCTGACCGGAAGTCAGTTTCTTATATTTTAAAAGCCCAATAAATTAAAGAGAACATAGAGATTCCTCTTGTAGTTTCCAGTACCTAAGAGAAATGTGGTTTTACCCCACCAAGACATCAGCCTCACACCATAAGGACACAGCCCTCCCTGCAGGAAGGTTTATGTGCTCCAGGCAGAGAGCAGCTTCCTGGGCTGGGGATTATGTCCAGCATGTCCAGTTCCATAGGAAACTCCCATGGGCTAGAGCACCAGCCACACAAGACCTGTCTCTATGCCTTCCACAAAGTACAGACCCCCAAGAGTGCAAATTACTCTTTATTTTTTAAATAAATTCCTTAAAAGTGTTGCATTTTAGAAAAAAAATCAGGTAGAATATTCACACCTAGAAGCCTGTATAAAAAGAGATGATTTCATCAGATAGGTAAAATTTCCCTTCCAAACTTGAAGGCATGAAGAGGTAAAGTCCAAGTACAGATACCTGATTTTTGATGGTGGAAATACTGAAGAGAGCACAGTCTATGAGATCTTGCTGGAAGCTTATAATTCTCATCTCCCCCAGTGTGAACAGTTCCAAAGGAATCACCTTTTAGAACCTGATCCAATAACCTAAGCTCTTTTATCCTGAATTTCTATAGTTTACGTTACCAAAGGAGCAGAGTATCTTTATATCAATACATTTATGTGGTCATTTAAATGAACTGTATGTGCGGCCTGTTTGATGGTTCTAGCACACCTCACTCTCCCTCATAGTGCACATGTATCTGAAAAGAGTGAGCACAGGGTCATTGTTTTATCCTCGTCTACACATGAAGCTCCAAGGATGAAGAGGTGAAAGGACAGTGGGCCACAGAAGCAGCCACACAGTGGCCTTCTAGACCATGCATAGTCTGCAGCTAACCTCAGTGGGCTCCACAAACCAACCCACGACACATTCAGCTACATTCAGGATCCATTTTTAATCCCAGGTTCTTAGCATGTCCATCCCTAGACAATCAAGTCATGGCAAAAGTCCAGAGCTGTATTTTGGAATTCTTAAAACCATTGCCAAAATCAAGTAGCTGGAACTGTCCGGGAAAAATAAAAAAAAATGTTCTTGCTTAAGATAACATAGATTTATAAAATTCTGGAGTTGTCAAAGAGCTCAAAGTCTACCTGTACCATGGCTCTCCGATTCTCCCTGCAGCTAGAGCACATTATACAACAGCTCTTCAGGCAGCCACCTGCCTCTGCTTCCACAAATCCTCAGAGGAGGTGACATTTCTGGTCCCAAAGAAAATTGATGTGGTCAGGGACTAATTACTTTCTAATAATACTCTTCACATGCTCTTTGAAAAGAAACATCTAGCATTCCAATAGCCCACTGTCTGTGAGAGAGAGGCTTACCCTTTAATGTTTTGGGGCATGTCAAATTTAAATGAACCAAACTAGACAGAATAGCAGGTTCAGTGCACCAACTGGTAGAACACAGAGCCAGGGTGTAGGTCAGAGATGTATTAGAGCTGAGAATTTAAAGGTTAAGCAGTGACTCCACCTGAAGTGGACACCTGCAAAGGTGACTCTTATGGTAATACCAGTGTCACTGCTTCCTCCGTCTTTCCTGAGTGTCTTCCAGATGGATAACTCATCTATCCCTGATTCAAACACTTTTTAAATGAAACTAAACTTGGGCATATTTTGGACTGTAGTTATGTGTTGCATTGATTCCTAACTATAGATACTGAAATGATCAGACTTAATTGTAGTAGCAGTAATGCTTACTATAGTACCCAGAGTTGATGGGGATTCTGGAATCGCTGAGAGGCCATCTGTGCTATTTTAGTCCTCATTCGTAGGTCCAGCTCACTCTCCCTTAATTGTGAGTGCTACTAGCTACTGTTGGTACACTACCATCCACGTATTTTTCTCTATCTTTCCTGGTACATGATTTTTTGTTTGTTTTGCTGCATTATCCTGGAGAGTATAAGACAAATTTTTAACTGACAAGTCAAATCATATATTTATCTTGAATTCATTATATTTTGTATTTGGAATGCTGTACCTAAACACACAATCTTCGGCTTCACCAGAGCTTCTCCAACACATGTGTCTACTAGAGGCTGGCAAGAAATTCTGATCCTGTAAGGGTTTACACTCTTGACCACAGGGCTCATGACCTCAATGGTCACATAATGTCATTCATCTTCTTAACTACAAAGCTTTACGTGAGTCATCTGATTAGCTGCCCTGACCATTCCCCTTCTGTCTGTTCACTCTGGTGGCTTCTCTGTACCCTGAAAAGTTTTCAGGGACAGTAAACAATGCTTTGTAGACTAAGCCCTGGAAAATATTCTTTATCTGTAGTCCTGTTCTGTATCTCATCCAAAACTTTCCCTTTCCTTGATAACTAAATTTGAAGGCCTATAGAACTGCTCTTTCAGAAAAAAAATTGGCATCCATCCATGAATTTTATAAACATTTTAAATGCTTCCCAAATTCTTCAATTTTGTCTGTAACTTTCCTCTTGCTTCTAGTTCATCTTCCCGAATGAGTTTGTCTTGATCTGACACTAGAGCACCTTATCTCCTCTGTTCCCCAGAAGGAGCTTTTGCAACATGGCTGTGCAGAATGAGGGATGCTGTCTGTGGTCAGGGCTAGCTTGCAGCTGTGCAGCAAGGGGAAATCCTACCATGTCCTGTCTCACTAACACGTCCTCCAGCCACCTGAGCCTAACATTTCCCCTGAAAATAATGACTTTGCCATCAACTACAAATATTAAGAACAGAATACCCAAGTATTAAGTGAAATGACTGTTTTCTCTTTTTTCCTTTTATTGTTTCTGTAGCAATATTCTACCAAACTAGGTGCAATGACACATAAAACTTTCACGTTCACAAACAAAGGAACAGTCCAGTATCAGCCCTACTTACTTTTCTGGCCTCAAACTCAAGTTATACACCATATTAACTGCAAACAGCAGGGTCTTAATCATTCTTAGTTGCCAAATAGCCTAGCAAATTACATATTGTGCTGGCTCTGGGCACTGCTAGAGGAAATAAATGCCTATGTTTATGTGGAAAATATGACCATATAACATAATTGGGAGTATTTAAATTCTTTTTCATGAGTATATAATTTCAACAATGAGTATGATGGGTATTGCTTGAGAATTCTTCAGAAAAATGAAAAACAGATTTACTGAAATCATTAGAAACTGATCAGTGATTAGTGGCAGTCGCTTTTATCAACACAAAAATAGAGCAAAATAATCAAGGTATTCATTTATTTTCACTCACTTAGTACCCATATGCTATTTCCATTAGAGCAGCCTAAAGTTACTTAATGTTCAATTCTGCATTGTAGGGAGAGCCACTGTCATAGGCAGGCATGGCCCAATGGTAAGGCATATGGGAGATTCACTCCTTTTCTCTGAGCAGATGGAGACTAAGCATGTCATAGAAATAATGTGTTTTGTCTCTAGAGAGAGGATGCTGGCTGCTTTGTTCTCAGATGACATCGCCTGCCAGGCCTTCTGCTCAGGTTTGAATTCATATGTTTTGGGTTTCCACTGACTTTTTCTCTTTTGAAAAGAATTTCCACAAAAAAAAATAAATAAATAAAAATAAAAAAAAACCTTGCTTTACAATGATCCAGAAGTCTGAAGTACATAAATGAACTTTGTCTTCCAAAGGACACAGTCTTTTCACATTGCATGGCCAATTTAGCTTTACAAATTCCAGGGAAGAGAATGGGATAGGGAGCAATAAGCCTTCCTAGAGCTGAAGAAGCAAAGATGCAGAGAAGTGTGACTCACCCAGGGCCTTGCAGCTAAACTTCAATACAAACAGCTGTCATGACTCTGCTCTACATTGTGATCCACTGTATTGAATAATCCATGAACCTAAAAATGAACATGGACTAGAGGCCAACCTACAAACTGAACTTACCCACTGAAGAGCTTTCGGTGGAGTCTAAATGCAGACAGCAATTGTACGTGGCTTCAGGGACGTTTTGCTTGAAGACAATGTGTCTGCTATTGCTGCTCATAGCTCAGCATTCTGTCAGGTGTAGATGTGATGCAGGATTTTTGTTTTTGGTCACTTTGCAAGCCGGGGACCCCTGGCCAGTGACACTGCTGCCCAGGGGTGGCCACGCTGGCATGCCCCAGCTCAACTGTGTTATAGCTTATACCTGTGTCCTGTGGTTCCTGGGCTCTTATATCATGCCCAAGAAGAACAAGCATACGCTGGACATTGAAGGGCGAGGAACGTGGAGAAGAATTTTACTGAGTGATGAAACAGCTTTCAGCAGAGAGGGGATGCGTGGATGGTCCCCCCTATTCAAAGGCAGGAAAGTCTCCAATATGGCTGAGTCCAGGGCTTTTTATGGGCTCAAAACAGGGAGTGTATGCTGATTGGTTTGTGAGTAAGTGAAAAAGGTTAAAGTGAAGACACCACTCAAAGGTGGACATGACCATGTAGAAAACCAATTAGGAAAGAGTAGGGACATGTAAAGTAGGTAAAGAATAGGAATCAATCAGAGGAAAGTGTGCCAAACGGGAAAGCAGGTTCTCAATCCTGTCGGAGGATTTACCTGGGACTGTCTCCGGCTCAAAGGTGAGTTTCACTGGGGACCCATCCCATCTGCCTAGGCATTTGGCTGCCTCCTGTCACTATGAGATGCACCAGGCTACACATTCTCAACGGCCTAATATTTAGACTCTTTAAGGTTAAGGTAAATTATCAGTGTAATAACAAAGGTGTGTGGCACAATTGGAAGTAGAGTCACTCATCATGTCACTTTACACTAAGTCACATGATTGGGTTATTCTTCCTCTGGCACACAATTGCATTATTTTGCTGTGGCTGCCATAAAATAAGTACCACAGTCCATGTGGCTTAAACAACAGGGATTTATCATCTCACAGTCTGGAGGCCAGAAGTCCGAGATCAAGGTGTCGGCAGGCTGGCTCCTCTGAGGCTGCCAGGGAGTTTCTGCTCCAGGGTCCTCTCCTTGGCTTGCACATGGCCATCTTCTTCCTGTGTCTCTTCATATCACACTCCCTCTGTGCCACTGTCTCCAAATTTTCACTTTTTATAAGAACACCAGTTATATTAGATTAGGACTTGCCCTAATGAGCTTACTTTAACTTGGTTATCTTTATAAAAACCTTTTTAGCAAATAAGGTCACATTCCGAGGTGCTGGGGGTGAGGACCCTGATACATCTTCTTCTGGTGGCAGGGGGTGGAGTGGGGCATAAAATTCACTCTGTGACAATAATGAACTCTGATTCTAAAATTCTTTAATGGTAGTGTGACAAACATTCTGTGATTAGACTAAGGGATTAACTTATTAAATACAAACAATGAAAATTTTCACAGTTTGGTACCCCTGTTTGAGCCTCCACAATGTTAGCGTGCCCACAGGCACTAGGCTATTTCTTCATGGTTCAGAACATTGAGAGGTGGTCAGCTTCACAGCATTCAAGAGGCCCTTTGTTTTCATGGGGAGTAAGGACACATGAGCTGCATCCCTGGGCATGTGACTGGTGGACATGAATGAAAGCCGGCTTGATTCAGAATGTGGCTGCCTGGCTGGTCCTGGGAAAGGCCTTCATAGTTCTGTTTCTGACTTAAGAGAACCTTCTAGAAAAGCCACATGACACAGAGGAAGGGGTGGGGTCCAAACCCAGGCTGGCGTTCTAGCTTAGGCAAGTCATAGCACAGACTGACTTTGGATATATGACTTACCCTTTATGGGATGCAGCTTTCTCATCTGTAAAATGAGGTTGCCATGATAATTATGAAAACTAACTTGTAAAATGCCGAGTAGAGAGCACAAATTTAACAAGAACTAATTCCCAGCCCCATGGCTCAGTAAGTGGAATAATAACAGCCACCTTTCATTGTGTCTGCAGTTGCCAGGTGCTTTATATGCATTACTCTACATAATCTTCGCAATCACCCAGCAAGATATGTGTTATTACATTATTATATATGAGGAAATTCAGTCTCAAATAGATAATGCATAATAGCTTTTTATTACCAATGGAGCTGGAATTTAAGCCCTGGGTTACAAGGTCTATAGCCTTTCAAATGAGACTACCCAACTCAGATCTAGTTTTTTGGTTTGCAAAATTCTCTTTGTTTTTCCTCACATCATGGCTTTCTAGCAATCAAGTCTTTAGAAGATACAAATTTAAGGGACTGTTTTCTACTAAAGAACATTATGCAGGTAAATTACACTACTAGGCATCATAGGATAAATACTCTCTAAATGTAAAGCATACACACACAAGCAGTTAGACCAGCTCACAGTACAGAGAGTTGATTTCTGGATGCTAATATCTGGACGGCTGGATAATGGGAAAACATTTGAGCAGGTTCTGGATAATACGCATATTGTAAGAACGAAGGATTAGGCAGTGGTTATAGGAATTGATATTAAACAGGAGGAACAATGCAAAGGTACATTACTATTAGGAATCTAGTGCATGGTGTGTAGATATAAAGTAGATTTGAGTAAAATGGTGAGACCTTTGATCACTGGAAACGATAGCACAATTTCTAGGAATGGTGAGACAACAGGAGGTCCTATAACTGCTGTCTAACGTCTCTCACCAGTTTGTTCTTCCTTTAACTCCCCATTGACCTGCCATACCTACCCACTTTGCATCACCATCATAGCTCTTAGTATGATGGGGTATTTCACAGGTGAATGGATACAAATGCCCCTGCATTTGAAACATTCACACAGTCTACAGAACAACTATTTTTATTCAACTCTGTAAACAAGGAAGTGAGGAAGCCCTTTTGTTACAATTTTATAACTAAAATGCTGGAAGGGTGCTCACCTTTCCAATTAGTTTGTCTTATTTTTATCTCCCCAACAACTTGGGGAAGTGCATTTTATTGCTGTTTTATATTAGATGTAAAATATGCTTGGGGATATTATTTAATGGTATAAAAGCTTGAGACAAGTCACACACAAAATGTGAACTTTCTTCAAGGCAGGCATAGGTTGGAAGCTTAACAATAAGCATGCCAACCATTCTTATGCTACTAGATAGAAAATGATGAGGCATTTACCTCTGATTAAAGTGTTATAGAAGAATGTAGAAAGGGGATGCATCTTGTTATTTTTGAAATATACCAAAACTCACTGCCCAGAGATCCTCCAAAATGCATATATATACTTTGTGGCTATATGTTTGAAAGTGAATTTTGAGCAGCCTTCCTGCTTTTTGAGAAGCTAATGATAAGGATAGAAAGCAGTGTTGTTTCCTAGTTTTGACTGGTCCTGTGAATACAATGTAAGTGTTGTGGGACAGATGGAAAATGAGGCCATTACGAAGCCTCCTCATTAATCCTTGTCAGTGTTGTGTTCCATTAGGAAAATTAATATATTGACTGTTTCTCCTGAGATGAATCTGAAGAAAATGATCCATGCAGAGGGAGGAATCAGAATGTCTAATATTTATGATTATCCAGTGGCAGTTTTGGGATACTCTGTGTCCAAAAATCCTGGCATCTCAGTAACCTTGACAACCCCAGGTAATCCACAAGTGCAGCCCTGATGTGCTTGTGCTGAAGCCAGCGCCTCTCACCAGAATGCTCTCTAACAAGCAGGGGACTGGAGTTTGTCCACGAGAGAGCACTTCAGAGTTGCTTAACTGCCACCAAAACCTCATTCATCATTTTAATAAACTTTCACAGGGAGAGGAAGGATTTCCCTAGGTCCTCTTTATCTTTGGCATGAAAGTATAATAGGTGATCAAGTGTGGATCAGTGTTAGGCCCATGTTAATTCCTCTTAATCCCCATGTGAATATTTTATTTTTATTAATAATCACACTAAAACCACCGAACATTTCTTTTTCCTTAATGATGTGTTCGTTTGGAGGAGGAAAGATGGGCCAAAAAAAATAAAAAAAGTTTAAACTAAAAGTTCAGGCCAAAGAATCAAAACAGAGCATGAATAAAACAAAATTACCAGCACGCAAACATTCTGAAGAGCACGGTTTTACAAGAATGTGAAAGATGAAGAAGGGACTGAGTATTTACTGAGCAACTGAGCTGGGTTGGATGACATATCTGTACGGCTTTATTTTATACCATAGAATTCTGGCGTTCATACCAGTACTCTAACTTTAAGGTAAAGAGGGTCAGGCTCGGGTAGCGATGGCATCAATTTGTCAGATTTGAACACAGGTCTAATTCTTCAATCTGTGATCTTTCCAACGTGTCCTAGAGTAAATAATGCAAAGTATGGTTCCTGAAAACTAAGAGCTAATCCTACAAAGTAGCCAGGGAGAAAGTCTCTGGCATCCAAAATGAATTTTTTGGAAAATGTAAGGGGTTGGATATTCTGGAAAATTAACAGCCAGCAGCCTCAGTCCCTCCTGGGGGCCAATGAATTGGTTGTGCCACCTTCCATTCTGCTTTCTATTGGTTGGGACTGCTCATCAGGGAACTCCTGGAGAGGATATTCTCCAAGTTTACATCAAACAAGAAAGTAATAGCCAAATTCAGGAAGCCAAGAGTCAGTGGTCAGGAGCCAAAAAAAAACATTCCAGGCTTAGGAGAAATGAAGAGATGGGAAAAGAGAAGTAGTGGAGGGGCAGTGAGGGGAGGGGGCATGGGTGAAACAGGTAGTTGGCATGAATAGGAGAGAACTAGCCCACTGCAAATGTTGGCTGCAGTATTCTAAAAAGCCAGCACAGGGAGCAGTTCATAGGAGGCCTGCGGTAAGGAGCAGCTGGTTAGGAGTTACACAGAAAGTGGACAGTGAGGCAGGCACAGGAAGGGTGACGCTACAGAGAGCACAAGGGTGGACCAGGGAAGCAGTTTCGATGGGCAGGGTCTCTGGAAATGCTGTCACATGGCCTTAGCAAAAATTGTGAAAGCAATACCTCACGGGCTGATAACCAGAGATGAACACAAAAACTTCTAAAACAGCGTCTGCCAAGCATTGACTCTCCTTTCCCTGAAGAGGCTTTGTCCTGGCTGTAAAGCACTCTCTAAACCTCGGGTGTTGGCTAGGTCTGCATTTTCCTTGTAAATAAAATTCTCACACTGTTTCAATAATATCTCCCTGCACCTTAACATCCAACTAATGGGGCATGATCTACTCGATTACTATGAAACCTTATATGCTGTGGTCTTCCATTTCCCAGCCCCCAGGAAGCAGAGGATGGTTCTTTGCTGGTGAACTACTCTAAGCAGATGGCCCCGCAATGAAAGCCATCTCCCGTCATCACGGAGGCAGGGCCCCAGCCCTCGGGTGGCCTCTGGGTCTCCATGGAGCTCTGTGTGCTTGTCCTTGGCATTGAAGGTCCTCCTTTCATATACGATAAGTCAGACTATGTCGCTGGCCCCTACCATTGAGAGCTACATTTCATAGGGCTAGAAAAATAAATTGACAAAAGGAAGAGTCAAATATTTCCTTGCTAACAGTGAATCTTACAAAAACCAAGAGAAGAAAAAATGAACCTATTGTCCTGCCAACCAAGAAAACACAGCCAGTTTCTAAGCAACATTTGTTATCATTTAATTAATAAACATTTCCCATTGAATTTACAATCCCTTCCTAGTATTCTTTATAACAACACTCTGATGGAAGTCATCATTACCATTTGCACTCTACAAGTGAGGAAGTTAATTTCTTCCCTGCCTGTTCCTAACAAAAGGGGACAAAGGGGCTTCCTCTCAGGCTTGCCGTTCTCTTCCCTGCTGCTGCCTAGACCTCATCTCTGCAATTGGGAATGAAGTCTTAGCTGAATGACAAGGACCCAAAGACAAAAGGCAGCCAAGGTCAGCTTGACAATGTGCCTGTCACCGCTTTCTGAGGAAGCCCAGTGGATACACACAAGGGAAAGAATTTGACCTAGACTTCATCCAGAAAGGCTTTCTGAAACTAAGCTTCTTCACGGGAGCTATTGTTACTTGTACGCCTTGAAATGTGTCCCCCATTTTCAGCACCTGTAAATCAATAGGACAAAGAGAAAGACACATTCATCTGACAGGAGAAGATCCTGCAAGCATTAATATTTTCCTGGTGTGTTTCTTACTTACTGCCAGAAGAGAACACCAGTTCAAAAAAAACCTAGCTAATTCTGAAATTTGGGGCTTTTCTAGTAGTTAGCCTTTTGTTGTCGCTATTTTAATGACGCTTTGAATGCACATCACAATGTAACACATTGGGGTGTTTAAGTATGCGTTAGCACATTTTAAATATACACATATGCCCATCATAAAAAGCTGTGAGAAAGTCATGTAACAAAAAATGGAAGTAAGATAAACAGAGAAAAAGAGTCTGTATGGGAGATGTACAAAAGGGCCTTTTCTGTGTAGGCTTGCTAGGCAGTTAAGAGTGATTTGCTTTTGATAAGGCTGCACCTACCCCATTCTTGTTTATTTTGGGGTCTAAATTGAAGATATGCTTCCCAAGATAATTCTTCTCTTAAATCATTTCTAAGATTTCTAAGCCAACACTGGAAAGGCTGACACATGGCCTTAGCAAAAATTGTAAAACCGATACCTCACGGGCCAATAACCAGAGATGAACACAAAATAGAAACAGCCGCAGAGGTGAAATACAAGAAGGTGTTTTAAGACATTTAAAGAAGGGTTCTTTCTCTTTTTCATCTATTTTCATGGTTTGTTTTTGTGATTTATGGATTTTCTCTCCAGCCAGGAGGATTTAGTTTTTATAGAGGGAGACCAATTTAATGTTTATAAAAAGCTTTGAATACATTAGACAGGCAAGGAGGTTCTCTACCACAGTAGGCAAGAGTACATAGCATTACAAAGGTGATACTAATTTGTTTCCCTGATTATTGCAATGGCTTGAACTAGCTCTGAAGGGCCTTCATCTTCCGTGAGTATTTCACTTCTCATTCCAGAGAGGTGTGACATGCTTTCTATATTCTTCAGTCATTGCCAGCTCTGCAGATAGTGGAGATGGGAAGTCAAATTCAGACACCTTCTGATCTCAAATCACTGCCACCTTTTAGAGGTAGAACTGAGCTTGATATTTAGCTATTAGATTGAGTCTACAGTACTCAACTTTATTATTAATTTTTCCATTGATGTATTTAAAACAATTCATCAGTATTCTTTATTTTAATAATTCTGTAATAAATAGTAGTACAAAGAGTGGTACAATATTGGTGCTCAATGAATGTTTCATGGATGACTAAACAAATGAATTATAACATGTTCTTATTATGGAAGCATTTATTTAGCACCCATCTGTAAAAAATATTAGGTAGATATTGAGGCAATGCTGAGATGAATAATTTATAATTTCTGAGCTTGAATTGCTTATAGTTTAATCTGGAAATCCAACACAGATAAAAATGAATTATTTGAATTAATATAAGTTCAAGAAAAATCTTGTGTAACTAATAAGAAACACATAATTAATTGCAACTGAGAAGACTGGAAAGAAGAATAAGTTGGAATTTAATCACAAAATGACATAAAGAACTGGTTCCCATTACATAAGATAAACCTTGAATGAGCAAAGGATTGATTAAATGACAGCAACAGATTTCATTGATAATCATCGATCACTTACAGAACATCAGGCATTAAACAACAAACTTTACATGTATGGTCTCGTTTACAGAAATAAAAACAAAAAAGTACTATTTTAAGTTTTTTATTATCTCTGCTTTACAGATGAGGAAATTTGCCTAGGAGCAAATCTAAATCTTCCTGAAAACTGGCAAAACCCCAGAGGGGAGTAAGAAACTCTCCTGTAGATTGGTACATTAAAAAGAAGGAAAAAAAGTATGTTCTTGTGCTGAGGAAGCTTCTAGTTCAACTGAAGGATGTACACATGATGAAAAACTAATGATGAGGAGGAAGAATGGTACGCATCAAATAAATTTTAAGTCCACATTATGCTACACTAGTGCTCAGACAACAGAGGACAAGAACGCACAGGTGGAGTCTGATGAGTGGAAGACCCTAGAAGACAGTTCTACTCTTTGTTAGCTGTGGGATCTTGAGCAAGTCACCTCACTCTTGGTTTTGTTTTTGTATTTTTCTACTCTAAAATGAAGACACCTGGTTTCTGAGTGCCCTTCTAATTCTAAATTCTGACCCTATAAAATTTTTCCATGGGTTGAAAGGAAAAAAAAAAGGTTACAAGAAGGAAAAGTAGGCATAAGATGATATTTCAGGATAAATAGGAGGACAAAGGGAGTTATATAATATACCAAGAGCCTAGAACATGTGCTGAATCTCACACTCTCTTCCTTCTCCCTTCAAAGCAAGCTTTATTGGATTCCTCATTATAATTTATAGAATCATTTGGTCATCAGTCTTCCCTACTAGGCTGAAGTCTATATGAGCAAGGAACTTGTCTATCTTGCTCAATTTTGTATTTTCAGTGCCTAAAACTCTACCACAAATGTATCAAGTATGTAACAAATTGTCATTTCAACACTAACAATAATTAAATAAATTAAATATTAAATTATTATATTAAATTAATTAAATATTTAACTAAATATAAATATACAGAAGATTAGCCATGTGACTTTTTAACATACAGGAAAGTCATTGGACAAAACATATACTACATCCAATGAGAAGAATTCAGGAAGAAAAGACATTGCAATGTTGGCAGAGTGGTTGCTAACTGAGATCAGAAAAGTGGAAAAATAATGAATCAGTTTACAGGGCAGTCAAGTGATTAATTGAGAAAAGTTGTTTGCAACTTGTTTTGGGGTAGTAGAATTCCGTTTATCCAAACAGAACTAGTTAAAGTCTAAAAAAAAGTTTTGAATAAATTAATGAGGTTGCAATTTCAAATCCAAGAAAGAGAGGAAAAAAAGAAAGACAGAAAGATGGGAAGAAAGAATGAAAGAACAAAGAAAGGAAATAAATAAATAAATAAATAAAATGAAATTAAGAAAGGAGGGAAGAAAAGAAGGAAGGAAAATTAAGGTAAGTCTTGGTCCAGAGCAGTGGCTCATGCCTGTAATACCAGCAGTTTGGGAGGCCATGAAAGAAGGATTGCTTGAGGCCAGGAGTTTGAGACCAGCCTGGAATCCCTGAAACTCTCTCTCTACAAAAAGTACAAAAAGTAGCCAGTGGGTGGAGCATGTCTGCTGTCCCAGCTACTCAAGTGACTAAGGCAGGAGGATCTTGAGCCTAGGAGTTCAAGGCTGCAATGAGCTACGATTGCTCCACTGTACTCCAACCTGGGTGACAGGGTGAGACCTTGTCTGAAGGAAAGGAAGGAAAGGGAAGGGAAGGGGAAGGGGAAGGGGAAGGGGAAGGGGAAGGGAAGGGAAGAAGGGGAAGGGAAAGGGAAGGGGAAGGGAAGGGGAAGGGGAAGGGAAGGGAAGGGGAAGGGAAGGGGAAGGGGAAGGGAAGGGGAAGGGAAGGGGAAGGGGAAGGGAAGGGGAGGGGAAGGGGAAGGGGAAGGGAAGGGGAAGGGGAAGGGGAAGGGAAGGGAAAGGAAAGGAAGGGAAAGGAAAGGGAGAGAGAGAAGAAGGAAGGAAGGGAGGAAGGGAGGGAGGGAGGGGGGAAGGAAGGGAAGGGATTTCTCCTGTCAGTGGCAAAAAGGTAGGCAATGAACTTCCCAATATAACACAGTGAGATACGATACCAGAATTTAAGGTCTCTCAGTCTACCTTCTGTTCTTGTTACTAAACTCTTGATGTCAGCCGGGCGCAGTGCTCATGCCTGTAATCCCAGCACTTTGGTAGGCCGAGGCGGGTGGATCACTTGAGGTGAGGAGTTCGAGACTAGCCTGGCAAACATAGTGAAATCCCATCTCTACTAAAAAAATACAAAAATTACCCAGGTATGGTGGTGTGTGCCTGTAGTCCCAGATACTTGGAGGCTCAGGCAGGAGAATTGCTTGAACCCAGGAGGCAGAGGTTGCAGTGAGCCTAGATAGCGCCACTGCACGCCAGTCTGAGTGACAGAGTGAGACTCTGTCTAAAATAAATAAACTCACTCACTCTTGTTGTCTGAGACTCCTCTACAAGTATATACCAGGTAAAAGCCTCCTTTGCCTTCTTTCTGTTGCCTGTTGCTGTTACTGTTGTTTCTCCAAGGTGAATTTCAGAGAATGAAGTATTAGCAGTCTATGCTGATAATCATTATCAGAAACCAAAACGCTATAGCCACTTTAATATATGCTTAAATGCATAATTGTCTCATGCTATTTACAAGAGGGTTAAAAAAAAACCTTTTACAAATTGTAGATGAGAAAAAAAGTAAGTAAATTATAGAAGAGAAAATTACATTCTTATAATATTAGAAAGCCCTTCAAATTTTCTGTAAAGCTACATCACAAAATTAAAGATTTTGGTTTAAAAATATTTTATTGAGAGAGTGATATTTATGGAACTGTAGAATAATGACTATCAAAAATCCATTTCTCCAGAAAAGCAACAATAAAAATAGGGAAAATTAGTAATGTCAACTCTTTCATAACTCTGACAATAACCAAACACTGGCAACAATCCAAGAAGAGTTTAAGAAAAATGCTGAATCTCAGTAACAGCAGTGAACTTTGTAGCGTTTTAACTGTCTTTCTTCTCTTTATACTTTCCATGTCTATAGTAGCCCTAAAAACCAGCAACTTTGCAACCACAGTAACTATGAATGCCAGCAACCTAGCAGTCAAGAGAGAAAACATACTAGGTTTGGGACACTTCAAAATAACTCATCCAAAAAGTATTTTCATTATGTGACTTCTCTGGCACCTCCCTGGAAAACCCCATTATCAGTTCTTACTGTTATTTAACCTGACTTGGGGTTTTCTCAGTAAGAAAAGTCCTATCACCAATGCATTTTTTAAAACAATCAGCAGTGATTGTTGAACATAGCAGCTGCTTTAGCTGTGGTATTAGTTGGAGCAAGTAAGACTCTGGCCAGAAATCTTAAGATGAATACTTAGGAAAAGGCATGTCCATAGGGAGCTTTAAAAAGCTCCAGCATATCCCTGGGGATCTAGAAGATTATGCACATGTTCTGGGTTGTGCACATGCCCAGAAAAAGACCTGAAGAGACCATGTCTTATCTCTGGATGCCATTGAGGTTTTGCAGAAGCAGGATATGAAGATTAAGCAGGGCTATAAACTGCCACAGTGTTGAAGGTGTGCCCCATCATACACAAAAGCCTTTTGGCAATGACTGGAAGATTTCAAAATCCAAAACTTTTAAGAAAATCTCTGTCGAATAATCATGTGTCCACTAAGATAACCAAAAATCGACTTCAGTGGCCACTTATGAAAAGGAATACAGACTTTATAAAGTTAGTCTAGGAAAATCACTAAACAAACAAAAAGTAGCAACAACAATGAAAACAAGATTTTAGAAAAAGGGAGAGAATCTTATTTCCAGAGTTGTCACACAGTATCATTTAAAATGTCCAGGTTTTATCACAAAAATATAACACATGCAAAGAAATAAGAAAATATGACCCCTCACACACACAAAATAAAGAAAATAAAAAGAAAGAACAAGCCAGGCTCAGTGGCTCATGCCTGTAATCCCAGCATTTTGGGAGGCTGAGGCAGGTGGATCACCTGGGATCATGAATTTGAGACCAGCCTGGCCAACATGGTGAAACCCCACCTCTACTAAAAATACAAAAATTAGCCAGACGTGGTGGCCCATGCCTGTAGTCCCAGGTACTCAGGAGGCTAAGGTGGGAGAATCACTTGAACCCAAGAGGCAGAGGTTGCAGTGAGCCGAGATTGTGCCACTGCACTCCAGTCTGGGCAACAGAGTGAGACTGTGTCTCAAATAAATAAATAAATAAATTTCAAAAGAGCAGTCAATAGAAACTGTTTCTGAAGCATTGCAGATGTTGGATTTACTAGACAAAGACTTTAAATCAGATATTCTAAATATGTTCAAATAACTAGCAGAAACCATGTCTAAAGAATTAAATAATACATTGAGAATTATGTCTCATCAAAGCAATTACCAATAGAATGATTTTTTTAAAAAAACAGTAATTCTGTAATTAAAAGTATAACTACTAAAATAAAAAAATTCACTACAGTAGATTAATAGCATATTTGAGTTAATAGAAGAAAGAATCAATGAACTTCAAGATAAGTTAATTGAAATTATTTGGTTTGAGGAACAGAAAAAAAATAATGAAGGAAAATGAACACCTATAGAAATCTGGGACACCATCAATCATCAATATAAGCCTACTGGTAGTTCCAGAAGAAGAGAGAAAGAAAAGAGCAGAAAAACTTTTCCAAGAAATAATAGCCAAGAACTTCCAAAATCTGATGAAAACCACTACTCTACACATCTAACAAGCTCAACAAATTCCAAGTGGGATAAACTTAGAGATACACACTTAGACACAGCAAAATCAAACCGTCAAAAGCCAATGGCAAAGAAGAATCTTGAAAACATCAAAAGAAAAGCAACCCATCACATACCAGGAATATTGCTACAGGATATACTACTGACATAATAGATGGAATAGATGTACTTTATCCTGTTCCCACTGTGAAGAACAACTAAAGCCCTGAATATCATATACATTATTTAAGCAGAAGAAGAAAAAGAAGACTCCGAAAGGTATAGAGGAGAAGGCATACCAGCTAGTGATCCTGAGACTCAAAGAACAATATGGTGGTAAGATCCCTGGCCTTCAATTTTGCGAAAGATAACCCCGGTTTTGTGCTCAAAAGAAACAACCTAGTAAGACAGAAAACTTTCTGAAAATAACCACTCTTCTCCAGCTGAACACCACAGTGTTCAGAAAATTGCAGTCCCATGGCCACTCAATCCAGCAAAGTCTACATGGAAAACCGATACTTCCATTCTTTCCAGGCTCCATCAAAGTGCCTGAACCCCCACACCAGGAGAGTGACAGGGGATAACAAAGAAGACCCCAAAAGAGCTGGGACTTTTAACTCTACCGGGCAATTACAAGGCCCCAAGCCCCTTCTCACCCAACCATCACCAAGGTGTCTGTAGAGACCAGGTAAGGAGCATGGACTCCCTTTCCTGCTCACTCTGCAGTAATGAGGCATTCCTTCCTCTCCTCCCTGGGTAGTGTCATCAGAAGCCAAGTGCAAAGCCTGGACGTTCAGCACTGCCCATGGGTGATGAGGCCTTCCCTCTTGTGAAGAAAGTCTAGGCCATGTGGGGAGCAGTAATAAGGTGCTTCTTCCCTTCCAAGACAGGGAGGTACCAGTGGAAATCTAGAGGAAAGCCGGCATTCCCACCACCCCCCAGCAGAAACAAGGAGTACTCTCCCTTCCCTGTGTCAACAGAGGCAAGAGAAGAATCTGGGTCTCCATCCTATCTGGCAGCACTGAGGTGCCACAGACCTTTCTCCTGCGGTGGTTTCAGGGGAAGTCAGCTAAACAGAAGGACTAAATAAGAGCCAGCCTCTCACAACATAACACCTAGCAGGTCAAGGTTTCAGTTGAAAAATCACAGGTCCTACCAAGTACTTGGAAGTTCTCAGACACAATGAGAAAAAAAAATCATAGATTAAAAAAGAACAACAACGACAACAACAAAAAACACCAACGTGGCAACGTGGCAATAATTTTAAAATTATCTGACAAAGCTTTTTATGCAGCCATCATGAAAATAGTGAACTATTTACAAACATGCTTGAAATAAATGAAAAAATAATTTAGTCTCAGTAAGAAAAAGTCTCGGCAAAGAAATTGAAGACATAAAGAAGAACCAAATGAAAATTTTAAAAGTTTTTACTTTTCAATTTTCAACACAATAACTGAGATTAAAAAGAACCAGTCAATTGTCTCAACAGTGGAATGAAGGAGACAGAAAAAATAAGCAGTGGACTGGAAGACAGAACAATAAAAATAACCCAACCAACCTGAAAAGCAGAGAAAAAGTAGACAGAGTAAAGAAACAGAGCTTCAGTGTATTAGTCCATCCTCATACTGCCTAAAAAACCCGAGACTAGGTAATTTATAAAGAAAAGAGGTTTAACAGGCTCACAGTTCTGCAGGCTGCACAGTTAGTATGACAGCTTCTGGGGAGGCCTTAGGAAACTTTCAATCATGGCAGAAGGTGAAAGTGAAGTAGGCATATCTTACACGACTGTAACAAGAACAAGGCGGGCAGGTAGGTGCTGCACACTTTTCAATAACCAAGAACAGCACCAAAGGGGATGGTGTGAAACCACTCATGTGAAATTTCCCCTGTCATCTGATCATCTCCCACCAGGCGCCACCTCCAACTTTGGGGATTACCATTCGACATGAGATTTGGGTGGGAACACGATCCAAACCACCTCAGTCAGATTATGGAACAAAAGATCTAATACTAGTGTCCAAAAAGAGAAGAGAAAGAGGGAAGAGCCAGAGAGCAAGAGACATAAACCTACAGATTTAAGAAGTTTAGCAAACCACAACTTAATGGTGATTTAAAAAATCTTCAAAAAGGAGATGTGGAGCCACCATCAATCAATGCAACCTTTCCAGGATAGGGTGGCTGTGTGTTAGCCCCAAACCAGGGGCCCTGCCTGGTGAGATACAGTGGGGCAGGTGGGTCACGGGGAAGACAGACCGGCCTCTTCTCTTCAGGGAAACTACAGCTTGCTGGAGGTGTGGTTAATGCTCTCAGGGTCTTTGCTCCTTCCCCAGCCTTGAGGCCAGCAAGGGCAACACTGCTGCAGTGTCAGTGGCAGAGGGCCTTTCAGTGGCCTCTGGGAGGCCACCTCAGAGAAACGCAGAGCCTCTGCTACCGGGAATGTTCGGCCAGGGGCTGGGAACACTGTCTGCTGGCCTTAGCTGGGGGCTCTTCCTGGTGAAGAGCAGGGGTGGAGGGCTCACGGGGAGGAGAGACTGGGCTCTCCCTGTGGTGACTGTGGCGTGCCAGAGCAGAACCCTAGGGCCCTTTGTTTCTGCCCCAGACCAAGAGTAGCAGCAGCAGGACCTCTACTGTGGCTGTGGCAGAAGAACCATCGGTTGCCTCTGGGAGCCCCTCTCCAGTGAAACTCAGAGCTCCAGTGAAACTCCAGTGGGTGTGCTCAGCTGGGAGGCGGGCGGCTCATCTGCGGTCCTGAGGTGGGGGGCCCGCCTGCTGAAGAATGGCGGGGTGTGGGGCCTCACAGGGAAGAGAACTTGGGCTCATCTCTGTATTGGGTTGGAGTGTGCTGGAGGTGCCAGCCCAGCGACCAGGCTCTTTGTCCTTCCCCAGCCTGAGGGTGGTTGGGGCGGCACCACTGCTGCTGCAATGACGGAGGGGATGTGGGCTGCTTCTGGGATTTCCTCCGTAGAGAAATACAGAGCCACCTCCACCTGAGGTCTTCAGGCAGAGGCACGAGTCGCTGGTCGGGAGGCCCCGCCCAGTGAGGGACACTGGGAACTGGGATCCACTTGGAGAACAGTCTGGCAGGTTTTCCGTGGGGCAGGTGTGCTGGGGTCCATGCCAGTCGCTAGTCACCGTGCATCCTCCACAGCCTGAGGGCAAGAGTGGCGAGGGCTGGAGGACAGCCAAAATAGGGGCCTGCCTCTCCCTCGGCGAGCTCCGTCCCAGGGAGGTACAGAGGTGCTGCTAGCCCGAGAGCCCCGGTGGGGAGTGGCTGGAGTTCCAGGCCATTGGGCCTTACCCTGTGAGGTACAGTGGAGGCAAGGCTGGCAGTCAGTCGTTGCTCAGCCTCCTGGATTCGGCCCCTTTCCTGGGGGTGTGCAAGGGAGGCTAACCTTCCCTGCTGCAGCCACTAATGCCGGGATGCCCAGGGACTCAAGGCTCTCAGGACGGCACATGTGCCTGAGTGGCAGCTCTGCCCATACTCCACGGAGCTCTGCACCCTGAAGGTCCTGGTGGGATGGGCTCACAGGGGGATCTCCTGAGCCTAGGGTTGCAAGGGTCCATGGCACGCACGTGGGTCCCCGAGGACTCTTTCAACTCTCATTCACCAGGGGTGGGGGAGCCTCCCCTGGCTGCGGGCCACTCCTGGGCAGTCATCCTGTCTTGCTCCTCTCCGTTCTCTGTGGGTTCCGTTCTCTCCTTGATGAATCCCAGAGTGTCCGCCTGGATCTTCCAGCTGAAGGTCTAGTATGTACTCGCCATGTTTTCTTCTCTCAGTGAGAATGGCACACACTAGGGGCCTCTAATCAGCCATCTTGGCAACTCCCTTCAACCCATTCTTTTTTTTTTTTTTACCCCGAGTATTTTCTATATACAATTGGTTAAATTCATGTATGTAAAACCCACAGATATGAAAGGATGACTGTATATATATAACGTCCCGAGTTTTTATTTGTTCTTAGTGGGAGGAATAGGCATTTGCCTACTCCATTTACTCCATTCATAAATTTGGGAATGCTTTCTATAGCAAGTAAGAGATTTTTTAAGCCAAATATGCTCCAAATATTTAGAAAACTCTAAACGAGATCATAAGCAAATAAATTTAGATCCTGATTTACAAAATAATATGGTACCCAAGAACATAAAGATGCAACTAAGTCTGTCTTTGTTAATTGCTTCCTTCTTAAGACCTAAGGTTTGAATTACTTAAAATGTGCATTGAAATTTTTATAACACTCCTCATTGTAGATTCTAGCGATTCAATCCAAGACATCATTCAATTGCTAGTCTCCTTCATAAGCAAATTGCATTTTGAAGAAATATCAAGCCAGTTACAGAAGGAATGAGATAACCTACAGTCTACAATAGTCCCTGGATTAGTGTTTATTTTCCTGCTTTTTTGAAAGAAAGTTCACAGATTTAGAGAGATTATCCATGATATTGTGGCTATGTACATAATTGTATGTATGTGTTCATGCTGTCTTGCAAATATTATAGAACCATTTAGCAAACATTTCATGTCAGTCTGTTACTTTTATTGTCTGGTGATGGGTTTATTTATAGTTACTTGTGTTTTATATCATATTCAATCTATTAATATTACAAAATTGAAAACTTTTTTCAAGCTCGTAAGTTTGGCACAAATCGATCATAATTCTATTTGTAGAATTAGTAATTTTATTTAAAATTAGTAAATTTCCTTTTCCTTGTTTTGGACCAATGTTTTGTTAACAGAAGCTGCACAGATTGCATTCCTTTTAACAATCAGTTCCTTTAATAAATTCATCTAAACCCATCATCAATCTAAAATCAGCACTCATAAACGTAGCATATATAGCTTTTCCTCTTAGCACTTAAAGTGCCTGGTAGAGTAGATGTAAAACCCCAAAGTCTTCCAGGCATTTTCAACAACTCCTATAAATCAAATTTTAAAAGCAAACAAACAAAACACATAATATTAAAAAAGAGAATCTATAAAATATTGTAAGTATATTTTTCTTGTAAATCTTGAAATCATGACATCCCATTAAACATAAGTACTTACACACAAAAATTAATTATATTCACTGTGCATTTGATTTACTTCATTATCTTTGTTTTAACCTGTCTTCCTGAGTTGAAAGTCATTTATTCATTAAAGGGATTGAACAATGATAGTTGCTACTTGATTGAGGTCTTATGCCAGGATGTGATTTGATGGTACCTTACTTACTTCCATGATGATTTTCTCAAGATAAATGAACATAATGGGCCCTTTGTATATTTCTGTTGACAAATGACTCTTAAATCCACACTCCACAATAGAGTAATGATTTCAAAGTGTTGAGACCATCAAACTTCCATATAATTCTTTTAAGATTAACAACACAAAGACACATTTTGACAACACTTTTGAAGAAGTATCCCAATAAGAATACAAATAAATCTAGGAGGATGAAGCCAGATGTTTAAAAAAAGTGTGCTCAAATAACTTAGTAAAGATTACAGTTGTGTATAAAAGAAAGAAACAAATTTTAAAAGCCTATAACTTTCTAAAACAAAAATTTTAGACCATATTAATATTAGAAGGTAAGACAGTGCTTAGGGCATGTTGTGAGCAGGATGACATATACAAAATTGTGTACACAAGGGATATTGTGTCTTAGGATATTAGGAACATCAGTGAAAGTAAACTGAATATATAACATTTAAACTAGAACCATAAGATTTTATGATTCAAAAGAAAGTAAGGAAAGAAAAAGAATTTAAAAGTGCAAAAAATTAGTAAATTAAGTGTCAGTAATAAGTAGTAGTATAACTAATTACAATATAGTAGCCTGAATCTGTCAACTAAAAGCTGATTTATTTTTAGATTTTATAACAATTAAAGGATCCAGTGATATATTTTATTTAAAAAAAAACCCGCTTAAAATGATTTAGAAAGTTTGGCAAAATGCATATTAAATGAGGTACAGAAAAAGATTAATCAAAGCTAAGCAGAAATAGCAAAATCAAAGTTTACGAAATACAGTTCAAGGCAGAAAATGTATCAGTGACAACTAGGGGCATTATATATTGGCTAAAAAAAAAGAAGTTATAGCTGAAAAATGTTCTTGCTTCTAACAATGCTGACTTAAATGTTATAGAGCGACAACTAACAGAAATTCATTGAGAAATAAATACATCTAAAGTTTTATTTAAAATTTAATATATGCTCTTCACAAATGGATCCGGGAGACAAATAATGAGAGATAAACATATCTAAATAATCGGGTTTAAAATTTAAAACAATTAGATGCTTTATAAATTTAAAAAGTCAATAACAGAGACAGTGCACTATGGCTATGGAGATGAATGTTCAAGCAGACATAAGGAGAAAGAGAAAAGAATGTAGAGATGGCAGCAATCTCATTTCTTTGCACGCTCATGCCCATCGCTCACTCCATCTTTAGATGAAATGGGGCTAGCAAGCACAGACACACAGACAGCAGCCAAGACAAGGGGTCCAGAATTAGCTGAAGACCTGAAGGCCAACTAACTCTCTTTGCAGTTTGCTCTGACTGACTTTTTGGAATAAAATAAACTTTCTAGACTTTTGCCCCCACCATCCTTCTGTCCACATTTAGAGTAACAGGATTACCTTCTCTAGACCTAATCTCCCCACACCCTACAAGGTTCTGCCCATCTGCCCTCTACAGGGTATAGAAACTCCAGCTCAGAACTCTGAGTATCAAGACCTAACAGCTGCTGATCAGACTTGAACATAGAAAATCAACTTCAGTAACTAGAGTGTGTTGCTGAAACCAATCCCAGGTTCACATGTGGATTTCCAGATGTCTCTTATTCGGCTGCTGCTCTAGACCCAGGTTTGGGCGACGATGATCCTCATCATGGGCACTTTTGATTTGTGTCTAGGACTCTGACACTACATGCAACCATGAGCTATGGAATCAAACACATAGGAACTGATATTTTGCTTTATAAACTAACAGTTTTGTGATTCTAAGTTACTTTACCATAAGGGGCTTGGAATCAAAACATCTACGTGAAAGTGTTTCTAAAGCTGTTGGCATATCATAGCTGCTCAATAAAGCTAAATAAACACCTGTCCCACCTGTGCATGGCCCTTCATGTCTTGTTGCAATGCTAACACCACCTGCTGGAAAGTCCATGCCTGCTTTTGACAATCTGATGTGAAACTTGGCCTGTCCTGTCTTCTCTGCCTCCACTGCCGAATTCCCTAGCTTCCTTCTGTCACTGAAGGTGAGCTTTCCTCTGCAGCTGCTCTCTCTGACCTATGCCCCCTCTGCTCTCCTTTGTCTACCAGTCTGTGTCCCAAAGTAAATATAAGATCTTTCCTTGGATCAGTCCCAAGTATCGTAAGGCTATTGGTTTTTACTTTGTTTTTGTTTTCCTTTTCTCCAAAACTCTTGCAGCTGTTTCAGAGTATTCCATCTTGTCTGTATTGGCACACTCACCAACTTCTCTGTCAATTTGGAATTGAATTGTACTGTGGTTTTCCAAAGTATTGGGACATATTTCCCGCAGTTGAAAGTGTTTATTAGTAGTGGTCTTTTGGGATAATCATGTACAATTTGGCATATACACATATTCTAGATTCTATTACTGGCACTAGTTTCTCACACCTTCCTGTATCTATGTCATTTGATGTGAATGTTGCTTTCCTCCCATGAGAGTGGAAAATGTTCCCCCACCTTTTGATTTGGGCTTTGTCTGATGACTTGCTTTGATCAGCAGAATGAGAAGAAAATGATAAGGAGTCATTTCCAAGCTGAGACTTTGAGAAGGCTTATGTGTTTCCACTTGACCTCTCATACTTCTGTCATTACTATGAGATGAACACACGGTCTGGTCTGCTCATCCCAGGAGGATGATTAAAATTCCCTGGAAGAGCACTACCTTGGCAGAGGTGCCCAGTCACATTTGTCCCAAATCAGCCATCTTCCAGCCAATGCAACAAACCACAAGCAATATTATTACATGAGGCGATCTTCTGCCACTTGGTTTTAGGATGGCTAAACTTTTGCTATAGAACAGCAAAAGTTAACCAAGAAAGAGAGAAGATTATAGATCAAGTGTCAACTACACAGGAATTTTTTACGTTTTGCATTTATTATTGTTGACACTTATTTTGAAGATATTATACATTTTGCAAATAAGATTGGGTTTGGTAGGTCAATAGAAAACCATTAGATTCTGATGGTCCTTTATAACTAAAAGGATTTTCCTAAATAGCCAAGTCTTTCTGTGATTCTCACCCTTCTTTTCTATCCTCTTTTCTTTCCACTTGTATCTTTAATCAATTTTGTTTCATAAACACATCGAGTGAATATCAGCTGGGGATGTGTCTTCAGAACAGAATGAGTTATCGAAGGGCCCTCCTAGAAAACTGATGTTTTCCAAAATGCCTACCTGATTGAAGAGCTGAAAGGAGATGGGTGAGTCTGACATTCACTGCCTATCTCTGCAGAATGTGCCTGTGATTGTGGAACAATAAGAAAAATTGCTAAATCACAACTTTATTCAGTGTGCAGTTTTTTTCCCTAAGGTTACAGTGACATCCAGGTTTCTGTATTTTATGAGAATACATAGGACACATTCAAAGTGAATTCTAAATGACCAAAAGCTACTTGCAGAAGAATTCAATTTATTACAAGATTCGCCACTTCAAAGTCAGTTCTATCCCTTTTATTAGACAGAGGCTGCAGAAGGAATCATTTTCTGTGGATTGCAGTAAGTTCATATACTGCATACTCACAGAGTTGCAATTACTAAGATGCAGAGTCTGAAATAATCACCACTAGAACCACAGTTTGCTTTCCTCTAGGTATCTGACATGATCTCAAAATTGGGGTTTTCTTTCATTTTAAGTTTACAAACCCAAATTTGTAGCTAGTCCCCTCATTCATCAAAACTAAACTCTAATATACACTTTCTTGTATCTGTATACTATATTACTTTCTACTTTTATGTACCCTACTTATTTTGTAGCCAGTTTCTATAACAATTCTGACCTGCAGCACTATAACAAACTTGCCCTTGTTATTTAAACCGTGGCATCCGTGTTGTATGGTTTAGCAGAACCTAGCTGGAAGTCCTTGATGATCAAACCACTTCCCTACAAGGTCCCTGCCACATCCTGAACACAGGCTTTACTGCAAACCAGAGGGCATAAAAGAAAGATAGAAAATCCAGAATTGAACAGGAAAACTCTGAATTGATTAAAATTACCTGGAGATGCTTGTTAAATTCTAGGCATCTGAGTAAAATGTCTATTGTGATGTACATTCAATTTAGTTATAGCTAATCTTTTTGCAAATTGGCCTTGGTACTTGAGAACTCTATAACCACTAAACTCATAATTCCAATGACAGTATCCTGGAATCGATGCTATTAAATAGGAATGCACTTGTTGTTAAAGCAGCATACAAGGGAGGAGAAGGCAACAACATCAGGGAAGATTTCTTTAGCTTTGTCTTAAAAAAATGAGAGGAATTATTCAAGCGGAGATGCAAGCAGAGAAGAGTCCAAGCAGGGCACACAGCATGAAGATACGTAAAGAAGAATGAAAGTCACATATTCTGGTGGTAAGTAGTAACTTTGATAGATCTGAACAGCAAATTTTCCCTTTCAATTTCCTCCTATTTCATCCCTTTATCCTTACTATGGGAGGAGCTGGAACAAGAACATCTCTGACAATGTATTGATAATGCATCTTTAAAGACAATGAAAGTAATATCATCCCGGGAAATCTAAGCCTTATGTTTTCAGAGCAGTATCTAACATGCCTGTAAACACAAAACGAGTTTCACTGTATTCTCCCTTTTTATAATGATGGAAAAACAAAGGACAAATAAATATCATAGAATGATTCTCAAGTTTATTTTGTATCAGGAGCACTTTGTAGTCTAAAAATGTTATTGGGGACCCCCAAGGAGATTTTGCTTATGTGGGTAATGTCTGTCAATATTTATCAAATTACAAATTAAACATATTACAAAACTTTTAAAAATGTTTATTAACTTAAAAATCAATAATATACCTATTATTGATAAATATAAATAATATATTTAATTAAAAATAAATGTCTTTCAAATATTAAAATATGGTGAAAAGATTGGCATTTTTATCATTTTACAGGTATCTGTAATGTCTAGCTTTATAAAATAGTATTGGATTCTCATACATGCATTTATTTTCTTGTCATGGGATATTTTGGTTCAAGTATAAAGGAAATCCAGACTCACACATTTACAAAGGAAGAAGCATTTTAATAGTATTTTCAGATGTAGATAGATATTCTTCTTTAAAACCACACCCATATTTTATACACCTATATTTTACAAAGAATAGTTTCTTAATGGTTATTTGCAATGTAGAATCTGAAACCATATTAATAAACTTTTCATACTTTGTTACATTAAGATTTGCTTATTTTGAAGTTTGAATAGATCTTTGCCCATGTTTGATTTTGTAATCATCTTTGCCCATATTTGATTTTGTGGTCTCATGTACTAGGTATTTGGAAAATACTGGTTTGTACAGATCTTCCAAGTGTTAGCTTAGGTTATTATGCAATGTCGAGGAGCACATGCATTAATGGCACCATCAATTTCATCAGAAGTCTTTAAATATCGGGAAGCTGTCAAGCTCGTGGTGGCAGATTCAAGCTGTAATGCAGAATCCTAATTTCTACTTCGGAGCTCAAATTCTATTATCTTTGACAAATATTGCAATTTGTTGTCCTTAAAATGACAGTTTCACTCAATTTATTTTTGGGAAAATTTCTCCCAAATGCTTCTGGTTTATTATTATTACTTCAAACTGTTTTGGGGGAACAGGGATACTGCTTCTGTTTTAATTTCTGTTTTAATAATCCATACTTTTCTATTGTCAGTTGCTTTCTAAAGTAAAAATTGTGTTCCATATAAAATATAGATAGTTTAGCTTGTAACTCAAATCATTGCCTAAATATTTTTCCTTGAGACAGCTATCATGTTTTAGTATGCAGCAGAAGTGCTTTATATAAACTTTCCATTCCATTACACAGAATGTTAAAAATATATGGTCATAGGGTCAACACTTATTAAGATGAATAATTATAGCTTTTCATCAAAGACATTCTTGATAAAACTGGTTCTTTTTTTTCTGTGAATGTGTAGTAGTATAGAATTCAATAACATTAGTATAGTTTGTTCTTACTGTGCAAAGGCACCAGCAATTTGCCCACTACTGTTTTTGTACAACCAGTGCAAATATCAGCATAGAGAAAAAGAAAAGTAATTACTTCGTGGTATTTTGAAATTAATTTTGATCTGATGAATCTCCTGCAGGTGTCTTTGGTTTCCCTAGTGGTCTGTGGACAACATTTTGAGAACTTTTTGTGTAAGGAACATCAGTAACAAAGATTCTGGAGTCAGTTGATGTACTGATAGGTGAAAAATGCATCTCACCAGGTATGAGTTTATTTAATCATGGCTTTCTAGAGGTTAAGACTCACCATTTTTGCCTTATCCAGTGGATCCCAACCTGAGCTATGTATCTGCATCTCTTCAGAAACCTTTAGGGTAAGAAAGAGGATATAGAGAGTCGGGACTCTCCTGCTGATTCAAATTTAAAAACTGCTGTGTAGTATTAAAATGCACATTTTTGTCATGCCACTAGTGATGCTGTTCAGCCTGATCATGAGATATATTTGGAAACCCCTGGATCAATGTGGCCATGAGAAACTCAATGATATGTTATTCCGGGGGTATTCATGGGTTTGACTAATATATCCAAGAAGCAAGGTTGGCTCCTTCCTTGTTTCTAGTGGCCTTTAAAACTACAGTTACCAGAGAATCATGACAGATAATTAATTTTAGACTTAATCTGTAGTTATCAGAATTTTCAAGTGGAAAGATTAAGGAGAAGCGGATTTTTTTTTTTTTTTCTGGCTAGCATGGTTCAAATTTCCAGTTAGATTCTAACACACTTTTAAGGCTTTTGAACCATATGGTTTTGAATATTTTTATGTTTTTATATGCTTTGCAAGGCACTTCTAAATATTAATAGGGGTACAAATATTTGAATATAATAAGAGGAATAGCCATGTCACATACTGGAAAATGAGTGACAGATCATAATAACATTAATTAAGATAATTAAGGAAAGAGTGAAGTCCAAAGGAAAAAGATGAGTTCCTCTGAGCAAAAGCCTATTTTTAAAACTATAAAACCAGGAAATGTAAGAGCTAAAAAACAAAGTTATCATGGCTGCTTATCTACACACTCAAGTTTCCAAGGGATACCATGGTAATGACATGGGACACCAAGTGTGTGCTGGGAGGAGTCTGGCCTTCAGATAGCAGTGGGGCATTCATGCTTCTTTTTCCTCACATGTCCAGGGAGGATAAGAGAAGTCAGAATAGCTGGAAACGTTAAAGAAAACCATGGATATACAGCAATGAGCCTCACCTGCAGTGAACCTTGGATATGTTTCAGCTGCTATTAAAGTAGCATGATTGTGACCACTATTAGTCTGTCTCCCCCACATAATTGTGAGCTTTCTATGTTGAGGTACTTATCTAATTTGTCTTTTCATCTTAGTGGCTGGCAAGCAAAAGGTTCCCAATAAAGATTTATTCCATTGATTGAATAAATTAAAGTTTTACAAACTTGAAAAAAATTTTGAGTAATTTCTTTGAAAGGACAGAGGCCAAGAAAGGCCCCAGTGTAGAGAGCGTCCCTTATGTAAATGATAAAAACCTAAGCCATATCTAAGAGGGAAGAAAAAAACAACACAGCATTCTCTAAAGTGACCCACTTTCTACTTTTGTGATTTATGTGATTTATGTTCTCTTTTTTCTTAATTAAAAAAAAATTCTGAACATCTTTAACCTGACTAGCCCTGAGAACCAGGATAGAGAATTCATGAATACCCCTCTCCAGAATCTGGGGACTTTTTGAATGTTTGGTGGAATTCACAAGTGAAGTCATCCTTGGGTTTTCCTTTGTGAGGAATTCTTATTTACTAACTCAGCCTCTTTACTTGACATAGTTCTATTTAGATTTTCTATTTCTTGAGTCAGTTTTGGAAGTTTGTGTCTCTCTAGGAATTTGTATATTTTATCTAAGATACATAATTTGTTGGCATACAGTTATTCACAGAATTTTTTTTTTCTGGAGGGTTGACTTTACTAATTTAAATCTCTTTTTTCTTAGTCAATCTAGCTGAAACTTTGCCAATTTTTCTGATGTTTTCAAAAAACCAATGTTTGGTTTTGTTCATTTTTTAATTGTTTATTCTTAATATCATTAAGATCTTCCCTAATCTCTATTGTTTCCTTCTTTCTGCTTGTCTTAGGTTTAATTTGCTCTTCTTTTTCCAGTGTCTTAGGGTGGAATGTTAAATTATTGATTTGTGATCTTTCTCCTTTTTTGTAATAAGTAGTTACATCTTATCTTAGTCCATTTGTGTTGTTGTAAAGATATCCCTGAGGCTGGGTAATTTATATATAAAAAAAGAGGTTTATTTTGGCTCACAGTTCTGCAGGCTATACAGCAAGCATGGTGTTGGCATCTGCTTTTGGTGAAAGACTCAAGGAACTTACAATTATGGCAGAAGATGAAGGGGGAGCAGCTGCACCAGGCTAAAGAGGGAGCAAGAGAGAAATTAAGAGGTGCAGATTCTTTTAAACTACCAGATCCTGGGTGAGCTCATTACCACAGGGAGGGCACCAAGCCATTCATCAGGAATCAGCCCTTATGACCCAAAGACCTCCCACCAGGACCCACCTCCAACTATGGGGATCACATTTCAACATGGATTTGGAGGGAACAAACATCTGAACTATATCACAGCTAAACATTTTTCTCTTAAGTGATGTTTTAGCTGTACCCAGTGAGTTTTGGCACATTATGTTTTCATTGTCTTTTGTTCCAAAATATTTTCTAATTTTTCTCGTTTTCTGACACATTTTTTAGAAGAGTCTAATTTCCATATATTTGAAACTTTTTTCAAAATTTCCTCTACTAATTTCTAAATTTATTTCATTAAAATTGGAGAGCATATCTCTTATTATTTTAATGTTTTTAAATATATTGAGGCTTTTTTGTGAGCTAGTATATAGTGTAGCCTCAATAACTTTCCACGTGCTCCTGGAAAGAATGTATATTCTGTTTTTTTAGGGTGAAGTGTTCTAAAGACGTCTATTAGATATGCTTAGTTTTAGTTTGTTTAAGTCTTTGATGTCCTTGTTAATCTTATGTCTAGTTTTTACCTTCCTTTTCTGAAAGTGGTCTATTGAAGTCTCCAACTATAATTGCTGAATTGTCTACCTCTCTCTTTAATTCTGCTTCTCTCTGAGTGGCATTCCTGCTTTACAAGAGCAGGATGCTGGATGCAGGCTGCTGCCTCTGGTCCTCTCTGCTTGCCTTTCTTAGCTGCTATCCCAGTAATCCTAGCCACCCAAGCCAGGGTAGGGCATGTGCTCTTTGAGTAGGGGCTGGGCAGAAGAGACCCCTGACCTCTCAGCAGCACAGGCCAGGAATTTAGCCTCCACAACACGGAACTAGACTGGGACTAGGAATACAAGCTGCCTGGCCTTTTTGGCCTGAGAGGGGAAAGGAGGGAGTCTGATCTTTGTGTTCTCACTCACCTCAAGTAGCACTTCTGTCACACTGAGCTGGCAGTGCAGGGAGGGAGCAGGATGTGGGACATGGTTCAAATGCCAGAGACTTTCACAGATCTTACTGAGATTTAGTAGATTTTACTGAAAAAAAAAAAAAAAACAGAAACAAAAACATTTCTTCCTTTGCTACATGCCCTTAGGACAATTTTCTAAGATATTAAAGTGCTTTCTTAAAAAAATAAGTTTTGTAAGTTATGTGTATTCCATTGGATTTGGGTCCACAGAGGGAGTTTCTCCTGCTGCCATGCAATGAATTGTCCTTCTGACATGTGTCTTTCATGATTTAATATGTTAAAACAAATAAGCAGGAAGTATCGTTCCTGTTTCTTTTTCCTCTTCCTTTTCACTAGGAGTAAATGAAAAAGAGAGAAAGAATAATTACTAATATTACTAGTCATAGTGATGAGTAGCATATTGATATTGTGGACAGGAATTGTGCAAATGACTCTATGTTAATCTCATGATTTCTAATTCCTGTGCATGGAGGCATGTTGTCTCATGCCTTCGGGTGTTTATTGGGATACCAGTCTCTCCAGTATTATTTTGAAGATCTTCACCATTCTTATTTTATAGCCATTTCCAGATTGCTTTCTTATTTCTATTTTCAGAGAGTAAATTCTCCCCTTTGGCAGTATTTTTTCCTCTTGTCAGCTTTCTGTGTGCACTTTTTGTTTAAAAGAATATGTTGACTAGTCCTTTCTCTTTCTCATTCCCATCTCAACTTTCCCCATGAAGTCTCAAGGCTTGTGGTTGTTTTCCAGTTTAGATTTACATTAATGTGCAGTTCGGGGCAGCCATCTGCAAACAGTATTTCAGTTCAGGCACCTGAGTGAGGGTGTGGCTTAGCCTGGTTGCAGTGAATGTGGCTCTTCCCGCCAAGCCCAGAGCTCAGTAACAGCCACACTGGTGGTAACAACTATTTCCAGCCTTGGTTTAGAAATGAGAAAACTCATACACCACTCATTAGACCAGTGAGCTGAATATAGGCGCAATTCATCTGAAAGACCCGTAGATCCACTTTAGTTGAATTCCTGGCCACCATTGACTGGTTCTTGTTTCTACATTCAGGGCCACATAACTGCAGCACTTCAGAGCTAGCTTATCAGGGGTGCCCATTCTTTTCCAAGTTAGGAAGATGTGTATTACTTTATTGTTGTTTTTGTATACGTATGAGTGCATATCCATATATAATAACATATTTTGTTAATAATTGCTTTATGTTTTAGGTAGGATAGGGCAAACTTGCATAGGAATTTATATGTCATCTTGAATGTAATTTTTCTAATCACTTTATTATTTTCTCTAACGTTTATTAAAATCATTTTGAAATAGGTACTAATCTTCCCCTTTTGTAATCAGGTAAAATGAGTCTAGAATAGATTATGTAACTTTTGTGGAGTTTTAATGCTATTTTTGCTAAAACCACTTTTTGGCTCAGTAGGTTTTAAACAAATACACAGGTGTTTTCCATTTCACAATACTAGGGAGAAATCTAAAAATAATCCTTCAAATTATTATATATTTTATCTGGAAAATATTTTTTTAAACCTTTTTCTTTAAACTATACATATAGTAAATATTTTCAGGCCAATATTACAGAATTTGATTTTTCCTATTTAGGTAGAAAGTATGCTACTTCAATCTCATTTTTTATAAGTTGCTTTATTCATAATTTATTTACTTTTATCAGATAATAGGTATAGCCATCTGGCTATAGTTGTCTTCTTAACACCTTATAAAGTAGACTAATACAATTAAGTAATTGTCTATAGCTCAGGGAAGGTTAGTTGTAACTACCGCAGAAAAGTAGAATACTACAAAAAAAGGCACCAGTATTTATAATTGTCAAAGCTGCAGAAGCAGTAATTTAAACAGCATGAGCTGTATCTCACTTGCACAATTTGTGCACCACTGCGTCCCTGCAATTCTGTGATCCACATGGTTTCAGCATTAAGCCCAAATAGAGATGGTAAAGCACTTTAAAGCAGAATCAAACTTATTCTCCTGGAGAATCACCTCAAACTATGTTCTCTTGTTTAATCAAGATATTAAAATCAGGGAGGCACTATGAGCCTATACCTTATGAATTAAAAAATTCTGTGAAGTGGCCGGCTTTGGGATTGCTGACAGGCAGCTGTGATTCGGATGCACAGGAAAGCACCATTTGGCACGATGCTAGAGGAGGCGGCTCACACCAACCGCTAGCTTTGTGGCCGGGAAACCATGGTCTTAAATCCAGACTCTGCCAGTTGTTGATGGCGGACCTAAGATAAGTTAGTGAAGCTTGCTGAGCGTCAGTTTTCTTACCTAAGGAACAGGACAACAGCATCTCCTGTGGTTACCGAGAGGATTAGGATTCATTCCACGTGTAACGTGGCTGGCACTTGTTGGTACTCAATAAATGGTAGCTAGAACACGATGACTACTCTCACCTGGAAGGAGAAGATTTAACCTTCTCTAACCTTGTCCCCAGATATTTTGTGGAAAGATGCAAGGTCTATCTGTCAAATAATTTCAGAGATGTGCAGCTTGTCATTTTCATGACTCCTCTACCACATGAATGGAAGTAAAAAAATGCATCTCATTGCTGTGATTAAAATTCTATTTCAGGGAGCAGGGAAAAATACAAAACTAACCTGAACACCCACACACAAACGGATAAACACATGTTTAACAGCTTATTTACAAGGGACATCCCAGTTGACAATTTTGTGGGTACTCAAGAGTCATTTCCACATTTCTGTAAAAATGACATTTTTTTTTGGTTACTTTAAATGAACCTTTGCATTTCTTGCTTCTGAGGGGATGGCATGTTGTTAGTTATATAGACATCAGCGGAGTGAATGACAATTGCTTTCAGGTAAGTCAAGAAAACAGCCAAGGGAGCTGTCAAAAGATAGCAAGTAGTGCCTTCAATTCCTAAACCCCCGCAGTTGTCCAAGGGAAGCCTGCCTGCAGAAGGACCTGAGCCACCGGCCAGCTCACTGATTCCTGTTCAGCCAGGAATGCCAAATGCACAGTCAGACCAGGCTCCTGTTCTCCAAGAAAGCCCTCCAGGAAACAAAACATTTTGCTAGAATCTTCCAACAGAAAAAAAAAAAAATATATATATATATATATATATGTGTATATATATATATATATATATATATATATATATGTGTGTATATATATATATATATATATATATATATATATATATTCTGCTGAAATTGTTGCCACTTGCCTATTTCCATCCAGGAATTCCTCTGGAAGGGTTTCAAGCTACTAAGAATCACGAAAGACAATGAGAAAATCTGAGTACACTATAGGTTTTCCCTTGCGTCCTGAGACAAGCCATCACGTGCATTGCAGTGTCTTAGCATCAAAACCAAAGAAATATGCTAGTTAGGGAAAAAAAGATAACCATATTATTTTCTTTCCCAGATGTACAAAATCTGGCACTGTGGGGTTTTTTTTTTTTTTTGCCAAAAAATGAAAATTAATTTGGAGATCAAGAGAAAAAAAAATCATCAACACAAGCCCACAAGCCACTTAGAAAGGAAGAATTTGGCCAGGATACAGGTTGTTTCTCCTTTTCCACCGGCTGCTTTCTCAGTTTTTAGAGTGCAATGAGCAAAAAGGATTTTAAATATCATCTAAATAACAACATACCACATGGAACCCCCCATCCTCAACAGATATCACTTTTTGCACAAGCCCTTATTGTCAATCAAATGCTACCATGAAATTCGTCTGAGGAGCAGCAGTTTTACATGCCACATTTTCACACATCGTACCATTTTATGATTACATATCAAAGACATTCACAATGCCAACCAATCTGTCAGCATTTAAATGAGGCATTTGAAAAAAAGAAAAAAAGTCAGACAGCATAAATGTGATGAATGCTGCAGCACTCTGAGCCATGCTCTGAAAGGAATGTGATGTACCTGTGTTCCTTCCTACTGGTCTCCTGCTGTTTCTTTTGGTGAAGCAAGATTAATCCTAAGCATTACTTGTGTGGGGAAGATTACATTTCCTTTGAAGAATATAAACTAGAAATATCTCCCAAATTTAGCCCACACCTCTCCTTTGTTTAATATCTATATCCAAGTCTTGCTCAGGCAAAACTGCAAAGGCAACACATTTCACTTCTAGTGCTGTGTTTCAAAGCAAGTGGCATAGTGTTTAGAGATAATTTTAGAGCCAGACTGACCTGGGTTTCAATATTAGCTGTATATATACTAAATATATGACAAGGCAATTCAGTGGAGCTCTAAGAGCCTCAATTTCCTCTTCTGTCAAATAAAAATCATTATGCCAATCCACAGTATAGACATGTCTAAATTCTCTTACCCTACTGATCTTGGAAAAAAAGTCTTAAACATAAAATCGTGGCATACAGAAGTCTCTTTTTTGGTGCCAACCTACTTCATTTAGATTCATCTTTTCTACTTTTGTCATCATTTTCCACATTTTCAATGTCTTTATTTTACCCTGTTACTGAATTTTATTGTAGCTTCATCAAATCTTTGCAGAAAAGGAAGAATGAGTAATTACAAGAACATGAAATGCCCACAGGTTCTTTATTCTCACAAGGGTATAAAGTACTGATAATGACTCAGTGTGCACTTCCACTGATCATTCAGCCTAAGGACTAAAGCTTTTATGGTGAAACTTCAGGCAAAATTAGAAAATACAAAATCATAATGGACATGTGGGTAGGGGGTGAAGCCAGGAAAGGCATTTGGTTGTTTCCAGTGTCTCTGAAATCCTACCATACGGGGACGTTTGCTCCATCCTACAGTCAGGTCAGCCCTGCCAATATGGGATATTGAAACTACTGAGATTTCATCTGCCCAGTTGAATCAGAACTGAAAGGATCAGTTCAAACCAGATGGACTGGAAAGCTGCAGCAATATCCTCTGAGAGTCTCTGTTTGAATTTAAAGAGCCCTGCACCACCAGGGCGTGGGAGTCCTAGGAGTTCTTAAGAGAGCCTCCAGCTCACCTGCCACCACCAAAAATCTGAGCTGCACTTTGCAAGGGCCTGACAGCACCCCATTAGCTGGCTGGGTCTGGTTGCACAGCCTCTGTGGCTGGACTTACAGCTAGTTTCAGGGCGAGAGTAGGACCTGGGAGATGCAGACAGGATGATGAAAACCCTGGTGACAGCTATGTGAAGTACTTTCCAGGAAACATGAGGCTCAGATATTGAAGAGATTAAGTACAAATATTAAGTTTACTGATCAAAGACAGGCTAAGGGTCATTGAATTTGGACTCTGATGAGGAATCAGACTGTCTGCATACCAGGCACTCGAGGTACATTGGATGGCATGGCTGTCTTAGCCACCATGAGTGACATAATTCTTTGAGTACTGGGGCCAAATGCGTCTGCCCATGATGAGCTGATGTACTGAGTCTAATCAAAGGCAGGCTTCACTGCCTAGTCTCTCTTCCTGGATGCAGGTAGGATGAGGGTGTGGCCCATGAATAGGGTCCTGAAATCTAGAAGTCAGGACAAGCAGAACTAACTTACAACTTTAAGCAACAAGGGGAGAATGCTTTGAAATTCCAGGGACAGGATTAAAGCCCTATGTGTAAGTGCCAGAAGCCAGCATGGGATCACAGGACAGGATTCAGCAAGAAAGGCTTTTCTAGACAAGGCTGGTGATTGCGAGGTGTGGGACTGACAGGCTCAAGGGAGACTACCCCCTGTGCCCTGCAGGCAGAAGAATGGCCTGCAGGAACAGAGAAGAGCCAAAGAAGCCAGGCGCCCACTGCACAGCATCAGAAAGGGGCTCTGTCAGTCCCACCCAGAGGAGGAATTTGTTGGACAAGAATGAGAAAACGCCCAATTCAAAGAGGTTTAGGTAGGCTGGATTGAAGATTCCAGACAGAGAACCCTGCGAGACCAGGCAACGAGAATGGCTCCACCTGAGGAGGAGACTGAGAGAAACTGAGCCACACACGACAGTGCCAAGGATAGAGTGAGAGGAGAAGCGGGGCACATGATGTGAAAGAAGATGGGACAATCTCCCTCTCCCCAGGGGAACCAGGTGGGCCTGGGAGATGCCAAGCCCAGTGGCCCTGGAGAAAGACAGGCAGGGACGAGGAACAGTTGGCACAGTACCTGAGTAATGATGGAGCCAGGGGAGGCATCTGGGGAGTCAGGGGACCTGGAGCAGGTTTCAGGTGCAACAGGAAACAAGAAGAAAGGGGGCACTGGGAGCTAAGTAGAGGAGATTTTGGAGAGAGAATCTTCTACCTGGTATGCAGTGTCAGGCATCCACTCTGAAATGTTTTGGGATCTCCACGGATGGTTTCAGGAAATGAAATGTCCTAATTATGATCAAACAGAGCGCCACTCACCAAAAATACAGATATGTCATTAATTTCTTCTTTTTCACATGGGAGGCCCCCACCACATTGCAAGCCCATGATCACGATCCCATTGTAAATACAAGAAAATATAAGAAGAGAAAGCATGAGAGGCTAGGGCTTTTGCTTAAATAAACACAGCTAGAGAGGAACTGGCCTGGTGCAATGACTGGCACTAATAAGTCCTTAATAAGCATGATGAATTTGACTTCTTTTAGGCTAGATGAAAATTTACCATTAAAGTTTTATATTTTCAGAAAATATGGAACTAATATCCTAAGTTCTGTATTTATGGAAGCATCAAAATAGAGATATTATTTCAAAATGTAATCAATTTTGTGAAAAGAATAGCCAATAAATATATTTGTGGTCCATAAATAAATTTTTTCTAAGTTATCCAAATGCATTCAGTTTTTGTTGCAGATCTTGTTTTCATATATGTCATTATTATAATAAATTTCTAAATCTCCCATTTATTTTAAGAAATATCTTTATATCAGTCTTACTAATGTAAGGATTTGGTGAATTATTTAATTCTAAACTTTTAGGTAATTTGGCAATATAGCCTGTTAATAGTGTATGAATTTAGTAGATTTTTTAGTGTAATGAAATGTAGAAATTAGGAAGACCCTGAGTGACAAATCCAAATCAAGTATCTGGTTTTATACATTACACCATACATCATAATTATAAATTTAAGAGTAATAAATTTTATTACCTGGTTTTAGAGATATCAGCTAAAACTTAGCACTGTTCATTTGGCTGATTTTCCTGTCTTAAATTATTCTCCTAATATTTACCATCTAGAGTATGTACCATTTCAAAGTAGTATTGTATTATTCTGGTTAGTGTTAAAAACTCATTTTCTAATAGCTTTACCGAGTCAAATAAGCTAGATGACACCAATGTCCAAAATCCATATCGTATTATTTCATTCTCATCTCATGTCTGAAAAAAATGATATTGTGGTGCATGTAAGACTCTCACAGCTTTGGGATGCGCATCTCTGACCTTTAAGTCCTGTTTGGGCCAATGTACCAATATCACTGACTCTACACATGCATCCTCAGGACCTTTCAGCCCCTGCACCCATTCAGTGGAGTGCTTATTAACCAATTATTTATTTCTAAAGTAAAGACATAGGTCTCATTTACAAGACCAGGTGAAACTGGTAGGATATTTATCAAGAACAGCTAAACACTGGATAATCAAAACAGTAAGCACAAACCATTACAGAAGTAGGAAGTCCAAATGATGGTACATTTTGCTGAGCCAAAGTTGTGATATGTGGCCAAAACTGAGAAAGGGACTTCAATGTTTGGTGCATTTGGAGCTGTTGTAGCTCAGGGAGTTAAGGGGAATGGATTGAAGCCAATTGTACAAACTGAGCTTGAAACCACCAACACCAGGAGAGCACCTGAGCCTGCAGACATACAGTAGAAATGACAAATGTCTGAACTTTCCTGGGACCAGCCTAGCTTGTAGTAACTTTCTTTCTTTTTTTTTTTTTTTTTGAGATGGATTTTCGCTCTTGTGGCCCAGGCTGCAGTGCAATGGTGCAATCTTGGCTCACTGTAACCTCCACCTCCCAGGTTCAAGTGAGATTCTCCTACCTCAGCCTCCCAGTAGCTGGAATTATAGGTGCCCACCACCACACCCAGCTAATTTTTGTAGTTTTAGTAGTGACGGGGTTTCACCATGCTGGCCAGGCTGGTCTCGAACTCCTGACCTCAAGTGATCCACCCGCCTTGGCCTCCTGAAGTGCTGGGTTTACAGGCATGAGCCACCACATCCGGCCACTTGCAGTAACTTTCTTGATTCCACCTCGTTAGTACGCACTAAGTTGTCAGTCCATGTTTTCCTATTTCTTGCTTGAAAAAATTAACCACTAATTAGGCCGTTTCTGCTGCTTTTGACACCCCCACATGATTTCATTCAATGACAGAGTCCTGTTCATGGAGGAGAAAGACCTTTAACAGAAGTAACCTGCTGGTTTTCCTTCTTCATCATTGACCCAACCAGGTCCCATGGGCACCCCTCACTGCAGAGTGGCCAGGAAAGGAAGACTTCTTTCCCAGAGTCTGTTCACCTCTGTCCCAGGAAAGAGTTTCTATCAGTGGAAAAGAAAGCAAGGGGGAGGGCTATTGGTCAGGGATCTCAAAATGTCTTCTCTGCTCCAGAGAATGGCGTTGGTGTGGGATAGAAATGAATGGAATTTCCTTGGTAGGGAGAGCAACAAGTAGAGAGCAGCCAATTACAAAAAGCAAAATTGTAGCTCAGAGAAAGAGAGAGGCAGAGCTATGGAAGCCAGAGGGGTATATTTTCCTTGGAATGAAACAGTTTTTTATTCCTCTTCCTTTGTACCCTACCTGCATATGCACCAGTAGAGAAATATCACAAACTTACTCTCAACAACCTCATTGTGTCAAAAAACACAATTGTTTTGTTTCTCTATAATTCAGTTGATCTTCCTTGCAAGCTCTCACCATGATGAGTAGCATGAGGAAATTATACGTTAGGCCAATTCTGATTTAAATCTTTGTGTGCTTTGTTTATGTCATTTGATCCTACATCCTTCAATTCAGGCAACCGTGCCTCCTGTTAAGAGCAAGCCCTTCTTCCCAGGCTCCTCTCCTAGAAGGCATCAGGCGCCCACCCCATGCTTCCCTGTGCCCCTGTCCCTGATCCCCTAACAGTCGCCTTCTGATCAAGACTTCTTCCTGCTGTTCTCAACTGTCACCCCATCTTGACTTGGTTTCAGGGGATCGAAAAACTCTTTCTTGTTTCATCTTACACTTATTCATGACCTTGCCTCTTATTTCCTCATAGGAGAGAGCAAAGCTTAATTTTCAATGAAGTTTTATTAAGATCTATGTATAATAAAGTCAGGAGTAAAAAAATAATAATTTGCATTAATTTAATAGATCCAAAATCTTCTCTGAGTTTCTTACTGGATTCTGTTGGGTCTCACAGCATGCCTCACCGATGTTGCAAAGTAGCTCTTAACACGTCACCCCAAAGCCCCAGTCAGTCATGCCTCAAAGTTCAGATAGAACCAATTCCTTATCCCCAGAAATTAAAGGGAGGAAGTTTTCCTCTCAGTCTTCTGCCCACCCCACACACCTTGGAGGTAACCTGACTTCTCAAGCTCTATTTCTGGCCCTAGGTTGAATTTTTTCATGGTAATTGACACAGGAACATCTAGAAGAAAATTATTCTTGTACATAAAGTATAGCTTGGCCTTGCGGGCCCAGTAGGACAACAGTGCCAGTATGAGTCCTCCAAAACGCACTAAGAAAGGCAGAATTACACAGGCATGAGATGCATCAAGAGAAACGCTTGTGAAGGGGCAGGGGAAAGGGGCAGGCTAGGACAGCTTCAGACCTGGACGTGGGTCTGGGATCCAGGAGGGGACAGAGAGAAGGAAGGATTTTGTAGGAAGAGCCTCCAAGCACAGTGGATTACTTAGAAAATCTCAACCAAGCCAGTGTAGGGGTCCCAAACAATTTGCCTGTTAGAGAGATCCTGCCTCTGCCATGCTTGCTCAGTGGCCAGGAGCAGTCTACACAAAGCATGGGGTCGGCTTTCCGGGGGCAGTGACGGAGATCCTCAGTCTGCTCTGCTCACTGCAGTAGGGGAGATGTGAGACCCTGACGGAGATTTGCATGGCCCACCTGCATGGTTACCCTCAGTCCCAATTACTGCAAAATTTCCCTAAGTCTGGATTATTTGGTCTTCAATAGCATCACACATGGGCTGTCAATAGCCTGGTCTAGGTTGACTGTGTCAAATGCAGTTCATTTATTTTTCAGTCTCTCTTCCTTGAAAGTATGTGTTAGTTTCTGTGCAATAATAGAGAAGCTCAATGATCTCAGGTGGCTTCCCAAAATTAATTTTATTTCTGGCTTTAAAAAGCTGACTTTTGTCCAGGTAACTCCTAGATCAGCTGTCTTCCCGGTGGGGGATCAGCGGTCCAGCCGGCTTGCTTGCATCACCTCATTCTCAAGCCATGGTCCGGTTCCTGTGCTGGGGAACAGTGCACAGGAAGGTCCTCAACTCGGAAGGTGTGCACAGCACTTGCACGTAAATTCCCTTCACCAGAACAAGCCAGGTGTCTGGTATGGACATATTAAGATACCATCCACATCTGCTCTCTGAAGGAGATGAGAACTGGTTACAGCTGAGCCTACCCTGTCTCTGGAGTCAAAAACCTGTAAGACCCAGTTTATACCCAGGCTACATTAGTAGGCCTTAGATAGGAATCTTCAGGAAATCAGGCCATACTATGGTTCCAGCTTTTCTAGAAAACATCTAGAAAAGGCCTGTCATGCTGATGCTAGAGGGTTAGTTACCTGGAGGCTCCTCAGAAAACACAACATGCACTTATAATAATCCATGACAAGTACTGCAAAGAAATGTTATTGGAGAGCTAAGAGGAACAAAGATTCCATTCTATATGCATACTATATAAAAATATTTTCATAAATGGGCCCTGCCTTTCATTTTTAAAAAACTAATTGGTAATTATAGAGTCAAAATATTTCTCAGAAGAGTCCTACTAATCATGGTGACGTAAAGTGGAGAAAAGTGTTCGATGTTAGGAAAACCAACCATGTGTCTCCTATTTATAACAAATTTAAAAGCCCCTGAATATATCGCTTTTCATTCCCTGATGTCCCCAAAGAAAGGAGGTGAGAAAACTTACAGCATGCCTTGCGGGTCACTCATTGGCTGTCTGACATCCATGTCCATGGGAAGCTCCTGCCCTGTCCTCAGTGCTTTCCTTGCTGGACAGGCACAGGCCCTGGGGAGCTGGCGTGCAGCCTCCCTCCCACTGCCCACGGCTCCCCTCCCACTGCCCACGGCTCCCCTCCCACTGCCCACAGCTCCTCCACATCAGTGCCTGGTTCCCTGCACCTCCAAGTCATCGTCAGCACCCACAGCACCAATTTCCCCCCTGCTTTACAAGCTGCTATCAGGAATTTAGTACCTTCAGGCTGACTTCAACACCTCTCTCATGTTTGACGTTTTTTGTTTTTTTTTTTTTTCCAGTTTTATAGTCATGACACAGCTGCAGAAACTGGCCGGGAGGGGGAAACTGCCCTGCCTATCTGTGCTGCTCTCTCAAAAATAGTTAAATGTTTATTAAAGCAATAAGTAACATGCTTGCCTGCAGGAGGATGCATAGTCTCTTTTCTCTGCCGACTGCTTATCACAAACAAAACCAATGACTCTTCCCTCGTGGATCGGAGGGGAAGCTGCACTGCAACCCTCTCAGGTGTGACTTGCTTCAGGTGTGACACTCAGTGGCCAGCCAGGTCCAACAGGGTCTCAGCCACAGGCAAAGTTCCTGGCTCAGGGGACCAACCTCCTTCTCCCTGGATGGCCGGTTCCCTCACCAGTCAGCAAGAGCAGCTTTTCCACATTCCTGCCTGAATAGTGATACCAACCTTATCCTTTGGAAATTTAAATTTCCCCATCTCAGTATCCTGACTGCAGTGTCCAAAACTTCTTTTTTGAACTAAGTGAAAGTTAGGCAAGGTCAAGCTTGCCAGGGCCCTGGGGAGGCTGGCCCTATAAGGCTTATTCGCTGGAGGATTTAAGAGCTCCTAGGGAGAAATCCTGAAGGGAGAAGGAGCCAGACATAAACTATTCTGAAGCAGAGGGCAATTCTGAGTTCAGCTTGGTGTCTCCCACTTGAATTTATAACTGCCAGAGCCCTGCCTGGTGTTGCAGGTTGCAGAAAACATGCTGAGTTGCTTTAATAAAAGTTCACCACATTGTGCTGCATGTCAAGCAGAGGAAAGAGGGGATACAGCAGCACTGCAGGTCCCTCCATGCAAGGGCATTGCAGAGTGCAGAGGCATTTTCCCCACATGCCTTGCAGAAGAGCAGTACCCCAATGAGTCCTCTGTGTCTAGCTAAACAGCACCAATGCCATAGGAACAAGTGTGCACCTACTCAGGGGACACCCATTGGTGACTGCAGGAAATACTGGGGAGGGGGATCACGGGACGCTGGACATGCTGCAGGTGCACACAGGGTAGATTCATTGAGATTCATGTATTCATTTGGTTACTTTCATTTATTCATTTGCCAAATATGCACTGATTGTTATATGTGTAAGTCCATTCTCACACCGCTATAAAGAACTACCTGAGACTGGGTAATTTATAAAGAAAGGAGGTTAAATTGACCCACAGTTCCACAGGCTGTACAGGAGACATGGCTGGTGAGGCCTCAGGAAACTTACAATCATGGCAGAAGGTGAAAGAGAAGCAAGCATATCTTCACATGGTGGGTAGGAAAGAGAGAGAGCAAAGAGGGAAGTGCTACACACTTTCAAACAACCAGATCTTGTGAGAACTCACTCACTATCATGAGAATAGCAAGGGAGAAATCCGCCCCCATGAGCCAATCACCTCCCACCAGGTCCCTCTCCCAACACTGGGGAATACAATTCAACATGAGATTTGGGTAGGGACACAGAGCCAGATCATATCACTATACATGCACTGGTTACAGAGCAGTGAACCAAACAGACAAGGTGTTGATGTAGTCTGTTACCAAGATAGAGATACATGTGAAACAAAGATGTAAAAGTACAGCCACAGTTGCAAATCACTTAAGCCCTCTAGGACAGAAAAGAACAGGATGTAAGGCAAGGAAATATGTGTGGCAGGGTTCAGGGGCTGGGAGACCCTAACTAACATTGGAGAATCAGAAAAGGCTTCCGAAGACGTGACATTTATGTCAAGACCCACTGGATGAGTAGATGTTTGCAGGGTGAAAATTTAAGAGAAGAGCTTCTCAGGTAGAAGAGGTAAAGCCTGTAAAGTCCCAGGGTTAGGAAAGGCCTTCTGGGCTTTCAGGTCAAAGGTTTTCTCCCCTTCCTCCCCTCCTCCCCTTCCTTCCCTCTATTTCCTCCTCCTCCTCCTCCTCCTATCCCCCAGTTGGAAATAAGAGCTCGGAGTTGAAAACGAGCACTAAAAGGATTTTCCAGTAAGGCAAATTTACTTCTCCAGAAGAGTGCTGCTGGCTCTTCTGGTCACTGCCAGAGCACACTAATCCAAGGGGGGAAAGGGTTTTTATCCCTAACACAGCCAGTCCCAGCTACTGTGTCTGGTCCTCATTGGCTGGAGTCGGACTGCATGATCTAAGCTGATCCCGATTGGCTACTTCAAATGGAGCAGAGGTGGGGGCTACAGCGGCAGGAAGAGCAGTTTCAGAACTAAGGGCACCAAATAAAGAACAGATGTAGGATGTTACAGATTGGGAATGGGTGTGGATTACAGATTGAGAATGGATGTGAGTTACTGATTGGGAATGGCTGGAAGGCTGTTTACTGTAACTAGGGGCAAGGAGGCAAGGAAGTTAGGCTTTGAAAATAGAGGACAAAGAACAAGGGATTTGAACAAGTGGAACCTTTGAAGAGGAACTCACTGTATCCAACATCCCTACCCCCAGTAGGAATCCACTGAAAAGTTTCAAATGAGAGGGAGACGGGATTAAAATGACTGTTGCTGATCTTTTCCCACCTGGATATTCATGCCGTGAAGCTCCGGGAAACTCAGGATATAGATGTGCATTCGTTTCCTGTCGGTGCCCAAATTTTTAGGGGCATAAAACAATGCAAATGCACTTTTAAAATTTTGGAAATCAGAAGCCTAAAGGTGTCATGAAGGATTGTGTTCCTCTGGAATCTTTAAAAAATCTTAAGATATTTTGAAAAAACACATATCAGGCAAAGTATATAGATAATGCATTTAATGTTTACATAATAATGAGAGAATCAATACCACCAACTACCTCAAGAAATAGAAAATTGCTAGTAAATTTGCAACTTTCTGTCTGTGCTTCGATTTTCTGTCCCCTTTCAAAACTCAAAATCTGAAATAACTACCATGCTTTATATTGTATTAATAATTCCCTTATTTTTCCTAAAACATTATTGCACACATATACATCATAAGAAAATACATTATTAATTTTCAAAGATGCTATATTTTATATAAATGGAATTATACCACATGTATTATTATTTTCTTGGTTGTTTTACTAAAATTCTCAAGTTATCTATGTTGATAAATACAGGAGCTGATTGTCACACTGTATTATATTCCATAGTGCAAACGTCCATGATTTGCTTAGCTATTCCAATTTGTTAGATTTTATGTGTTTTTTAATTGTTTTGCTATTAAACTTATATATTTTTGTCTTAAATATTCTTTTAATATTTTTTATTCTCATGAGGTAAAGTTACTCGAGTGTGTACAAGTAGGAGTGAAATGTCTGCATATTAGATATGCAGACTGTCAGCTTTGCTATGTAACTGGTCAGTGAACTACCAATTTATACATCAGTGAAAAGAGATGAGAGGTTCTGTTCCTCCATATATCACCAACACTTAATATTGTCAACCCATCCCTTTTCTCCATGCTTTTGGATATTAAATAGTAACACATTTTTAATTTTAATTTGTATATGCATGGTAACTAATGACATTGTGTACTTTTTGTACCACTTTTCAGTGTTTGTGTCTATTTTTTCATGAAACAACTGGATCTTTTGACAGCTTTTCTGAAGAGTTTTGCTTTACTAATCAATTTGTAAAAAATTTAAATACACATTCTTATAATACATTATTTTGGTTATGCAGGTCATGATCATTTTCTCCAAAGTTATAGCTCTTCTTTTTACTCTCTTTACTATATGTTTTGATTAACCAAAGTCCTTAATTTTAATATAGTAAAATATAATTTTTATTTCTTTTAGTGGTTAATATGAAGATACTCCAAAATTTTCAACATTTTTGTCTTTCACATTGAAGGATTTCATCCATCTGGAATTGATTTGAATGTGTGGTATGAAGTAGGAAAACATTTTATTATTTTGCATATAAATAATCAATTATCCCAGCAGTACCTGTTGAACACCTTATACTTCCTTCACTCTCCTTCAATGCCAGCTCTGTAAAACATCACTCTTTGTATGAAAGGGTCTTGTGATAGGTACCTTTATTTTGTTTTATTTATCTATGTATCAGTATACTAATTAATAATGCTTTATAGTAAGTCTTAATATGCAGAGATAAAAGCAAAGCATCTCTCTTTTTTTTTTTTTTTTGGGAGATGGAGTTTCGCTCTTGTTGCCCAGGCTAGAGTGCAATGGCATGATCTTGGCTCACTGCAACCTCCGCCTCCCAGGTTCAAGCAATTCTCCTACCTCAGCCTTCCACATAGCTGGGATTACAGGCTTGTGCCACCACGCCCAGCTAATTTTTGTATTTTTAGTAGAGACAGGGTTTCACCATGTTGGCCAGGCTGGTCTCAAACTCCTGACCTCACGTGATCCACCCGCTCTGGCCCCCCAAAGTGCTGGGATTACATGTGTGAGACCCCACACCCGGCCAAAGCATCTCTTTTCTTAGAGTTCTTTTTAGGACTCAAAATAATAAACTGTATCATAAAGAATACTTTTCATGTCAGGTTATAGTAGAAAGATATGTGGAGTCAGAAAGACACAAATTGGGGTATTCTAGTTTTTCCACTTACTATGTGAGTCATGTTGGGAAGTTGAATTAATCCTTGGACTTGATTGTTCCCTCCATTATAGAAATGAAGAAATTAGGCTCACCTATCCCGGATTAAAAACACAGACCTTCTAGAGCAGTGTCTGTCATATAAGAGGAGTTCATGAGATGACAGTTTCCTTTTGTTTTCTGTATCAGATGTAGTATTCTGCCCATAAAGACACATATTACCATAATGTCACTATGCCCCCGAAATAATAAATAATTAAATAAGAGTTTTATTGAGCCATTTCCACGGAATATAAGTCTGACACTTGTTGGAATTACTCCTAAGTAATTGCTTTCTGTTCTTTTCTGTGGCTTCTGCCTGCATAGCTATGTTAATGCTATTACTTAAATATTTTTGAAATGAACAGGGAGTTGACTTAATAGCAAGTATTTAGTTAATAAAGTGCATATTAATACTTTAATTTTCAGCAAAATGAGTCCTCTTGTAATAACACTATGAATTTTTCAGAAATGAAAATTTATTGTGGGTCAAAATATGATAAAAAATGAAGATATATTCTTGTTATGAATGTTTCAATTACAAAGCACTACTGGGAAATATATAACACAAGCATATTCCAGAATGGAGATAATATTTACTACCAAGTTCTTGTTTATAAAAATAGAGGCAGTTGTTGTTATTCCTATTATCCTCACAGATGGTGAGTAGGCTGTTGCAAACCCATGAAGGGAACCTCGTCCCACTCATGGGAATATAGTTGTTCTCTACACGGCCTCTCCACTCCCACCGTCTGCAGACTGCAAAGAGAGAGCTAACATTCATTGCACTGGATTCTATGTGTTAAGAATAGTGTGAGATGCTTTACCTATGTTATTTCACTTAATCACATAGCTGTCATGGATCTTCATTCCCGTTTCATGGATGATCTAAAGTTGGTTTCGGGAAGCTAACTTGTCAAAGTCTCATAGTTAACCTATAAGCGTCCTAGGACTGCCATAGCAACTTAACACAAACTTAATGAAATAAAGCAATGGAAATTCTTTCTTTCATAGTCCCGGAGTCCAAAAGTACCACATGAGGGTGTCAGCAGGGCCATGCTCTCTCTGGAACATGTAGAGAAGGACGCTTCCTTGCCTGCTCCTAGCTTCTGGTGCTACTGACAATCTTTGATGTTCCTTGAATTGAAGACACATAACCCCAATCTCTCCTTCTGTCGGCACATGGCATTCACCAAGGTGTCCCCATTTCTCTAGTCTGTCTTTTGACACCAGTCATTGGATTAGTGCCCAGCCTAATCAAGTATGACCTTATCTTAACTTTATTAACTTGATTACATTTCCAAAGGCCCTATTACCAAATAGGTCACATTCACGGGTACCAAGGTTAGGATACCAAGGTTAGGATTTGAAAATATCTTTTAGGGGAACACAAAGCCATATCAGTTAGTAAGTCTGTGTGTGTACGTGTGTGTGTGTGTGTGTGTGTGTGTGTGTATCCAGTTAAGTCCAGAGATATTTTCATGTTTTTTACAGTGAACTGTAAGATACCATGCATTTGATTTCCCATTTCTTTGAGAAGCAGGAGAGACTAAACCTTTTCAAATAGCTAACTATTCTGGATATGACTGATGTGAGACATATCTAATGATAATTTGCAGAGGTCCAAAAATCTAATATGATACTAGTATAGTAGAGAAAATTTTGTGTACTAGTAACTTTTGATGAACAGACTTATGGATTTTATTCAACAGTAAAATTAGTAGAGATAAACAGTGTGATGTAACTTTCTCCACAAAGGGAATGTGATATTAACATTAATAGAATAGCACAATAACATTCTAGAACTAAACGAAAATTGTCCTATTCTGCCGTACACTGAGGGCATACCATATCAGAAGTAGTATGTTCACTTGAGCATGTATTATGTGAGAAACAGGCTAAGCTGCTGTAACAAGTAGATGCAAATGTATGTTATCTCAAACACAATCAAAATTTATTCTCTATCATATAACACACCAGAACGTTATGAACAGAAAGTTTGTGCTCCCTCGAAATTCCTATGTTGAAGCTCTAACCCTTCAGGGATGATATTTGGAAGTGGGGCTTTTGGGAGGTGATTAGGTTTAGATGAAGTCATAGGGTGAACCCCCTTTGAGGGGATTAGTGTCCTTATGAAAAAGGGAAGAGACTGGAACTCTCTTTCTACCACGTGAGGACACAGTGGGAAGGTAGCCGTCTGCAAGGCCATAAAGAGAGACCTCACTGAGAACTGAGCACTGCCAGACCTTGATCTTGGGCTTTCCAGCATCCAAAACTCTGAGAAAATTAATTTCAGATGTTTCAACCCCCAGTAAATTGTATTTTGTTATGGAAGCTGCAATAAACGAAGACACAGAGGTAAGAAGATGTTGCAGAACCAACAGGCAGCACTGCTACACATGGATGTGCATGGACCCGGGGTCTTTTTCTCACATTACTCCATTATTTTCCAGAATGTTCATATAGTCTTCATGTCCACAGCAGGGATTTTAATTATTCTCCAGAATCTATTCTTCCCTTTTTCCTTTAAGTAGTATAACTCTACACATTTCAGCAGAACAATAATCATCCAGTTACACACTCAATTTCCAAGCTCTTGGGCCAAATGATTAAAGTCATACCCATGGAACGCAAGCAGCAGTGATGTGGGCAACATCTGCTTCTCTCTCTAAAAAGAAGTTTCTTTCATTTTCTACGCTGGAGCATGGATCTGGTGTTGGTGATTCAGGTTAGACCATGCAAAGCACAACACTTAAACAATACATTGAGGTCACTTAAGTGTGGTTAGGACAGCATGGTGTTATGTCAAAATGAAGTGCAACAGAAAATTGACCACCACTGAACACACTCAGAAATAAATGTTTATTTCTAAGACAATCACAAGCTGGTTTCCCATTAGACTGACCACCTCTGTTATGTTAGAATTCTGCAATGTTCCCTGGGTAGTCTTTTCTCTTCTACTGAGAACTCTGCAAAATCATAAGCCAGTTGATGGCTGAATAATTGGGTTTTATGATTTCTTCTATTCTCCTTCTACAAAGTCATCTTAAAAATGAACATTTAACTCACCGTCCAGATAAACCAATTTCATTTTATTAAAAAAGAAAGAAACAAACAAAATGTCTGTCCTTCCTAAATTTTTCTGAAAATAATTTATTTGTATGAGAAAAAAATGGAAAAGACACAAAAGGAGAGAACCAAACCTTAGTAAAATAGAAACACTGCATGGGAGCAGTCAAAAAGACAGGAGAGAATATTTGACTTATTAATTCCTTATATATTCCTTCCCAGAATGAGGAACTAGGAAGTCCTCCCTCCCATTTTTCTCTCCTGGAAAGATTAGTCCTTATACTAGTGTGTTCGCCATTGTTCTTTATACTCACAAAACAGCACAGTGTTCAGCATGAGGGTATAAGAAATTCCTTCTTGCCCCAGGAATTGCCCATGTCCTGATCTAAGATGTTTCCCTGCAAGAGCTAGCTCAGAGCTGCTCAGAGCTTGCTATGACACTGCTCCAGGACTCAGCGATGAGACTTGCCTTGGTTATCCTGGATCCAGAAGCAAGAACGCTGGCACTGAATGTGTCGGTGGGGACCCTGCCAGAAACATACTTCCTGCCCATCACCCCAATTCTTCATGGCCAGAGAAAATAAAGTAGCAGACTCATTGTCCCATTTTTTTTTTTTTTTTTTTTGAGACGGAGTCTCGCTCTGTCACCCAGGCTGGAGTGCAGTGGTGCAATCTCGGCTCACTGCAAGCTCCCCCTCCCAGGTTCACGCCATTCTCCTGCCTCAGCCTCCTGAGTAGCTGGGACTACAGCCGCCTGCCACTATGTCCAGCTAATTTTTTGTATTTTTAGAAAGACAGGGTTTCACCACGTTAGCCAGGATGGTCTCAATCTCCTGACCTGGTGATCCGCCCGCCTCGGCCTCCCAAAGTGCTGGGATTACAGGCATGAGCCACCGCGCCTGGCCCATTGTCCCATTTAATGAGAAATATCTGTTGTTCTTTTATTCAAGGAGGCTTTCTGCTCCCTAGATATATGGACAAGAATTTCAGGACATTAGCTTTTTGTAGAAAACTAGCAGAAATGCTAGGAGAAGTGGCATCTAAATGTGACAACCAATGAAATTATACATTGCCACTTTCCATTATAATTGTTCTTTACATGTTTATGTTCACATTCACAAAGATGTGAACCAACACTGTTTTAAACTTGGATCTACTGTTAAACCTAAAAAACTGTGGTCACCGTTTGAGTTGCTATTACCTCCTAACAGATCTCCAAACATTAGCACTTATGATAAACATTTTATTGTACTCGCAGTTTTAGCAAGGACTTGGCTGGGCTGTTCTTATATGCAATCTTTCATGTAGTGTCAATCAGATTCAAGGGGCTGGAAATATCAACCCATCCTTCAACGGGAGGAAGGTCAAAGGATCTGCATATATCTTTAAAAACCAATAGTCACTTTTCCTGAAGACCTTTCAAGAAATAGACCTTCCATCTTTGACTACGCTTGACTATATTTTTCTTAAGTCATTCACTCTAAGCCCAAGAAATAAACAGTGTTACCTAACTTGTCAGAAACATATATGCCACGCAAAAATTTCACTCCCTTCTTCCTGGATATATTTTTTATAACAATCATTTCATATGTTTGAAAATAGGAAAATTTCAAAACAGACAATAAGCAAATTTAAGTAAAAGTTTACAAATCCTCTTTTTTTCCCCCCAAGATGTCAGGTAGGAGGCAGGGCTAGCATGCCTCTCTCACTTGAAAGGACAGAATGGTATGTGGAGAGTCACACTGTGAACTTTTGTTCCAAGAACCACCACAGGAACATACCAGGAAAACTGAAAGCATTCACAGATCCTTTGAAAGAAGCAGAATGCCACAACACTTAAAAATACATTGAGATCATTAAGTGTGGTCAGGACAGCATGGTATCCTGGAACATACACCCATTGGCCTGAGAACCACTCTCCCTCCCCGACAGTGGCCACGGCAAGCCCCACGCAAGGAGAGTTTTTGTTCACCTCTTTGTGAACATAGACGTAAACATCTAAAGAACAATGATAACAGAAAGTGAGAATGTGTGATTTCATTGGTTGTCACATTTGGATGCTGTGAGACAGGTGAAAAACTGTGAGTTCCCAGAGTAGGAGAGGGGGTAAACCTGCCTCCAATCACATGTCCCCACTGGGAAATCTGAAAAACCAGATCACAGGAGAAGGTTTTAACCTCACCTAGAGCTGGAACAAACATAGGGAGCCGAGCAAAATATAAAGTAGAAGCAGCAGCAAATAAAACCTTGTAGACATTCCCAGTCTCCAACTCAAGCTCAGGGAAGCCATTCCTGATGATATCTCATCGGGGCCCTCAGGGATGGCAGCCAGTGGAATTAAGGAGCGGTAACAGGGTGAAAGAAGCTCCCAACTGAATTTTGTGATAATTTCAAATGGGCACGATCCCCCTTGAACAGAATTGGGGGTGAATAAGAACTGTAGCAGATATGAGTGCAGGCATGGGGCACCCACCATTGCAGCCAGATGGTGAGAGGCATGGCCTAAAAGCGGTGCTCTCTCAGTAAGGAAGCTTATGGCCTGGGGCAGGTCTGAGTTCTGCATGCAGGCTGCCTGGATCTAAACCAGGTACTGTTAGTGGGGCACTGCAGGAGTGAGACCAGGCTCAACAACTGCATGAGAGCTGGGTGAGGCCTTTTGCTACCAGCTATCCCCCACTCCCCTGGTGAACTCTCCCGCACAACAGAAGCAGCCATACTCCCCTCTGGAACATAAAAGCATTGGCCTGAGAACCACCCTCCCTCCCCCACAGTGACTGCAGCAAGCCCCACCCGAGGAGGTTGTGAGTTCAGACCCACCTAAACTTGCCCCCACCTGATGGTATTTCTCTATCTGCCCTGGTAGCTGAACACAATAGACATAAACTGTTGGGAGATTCGTGGCCATACTCATTGCCTGAGAAACCAGAATATTTCCCTTGGCCAACTTACAGCAAGCTCAAAACCAAATACTACTACCACAGCTGGTGCTTTCTTTCAAATGCCACCTCCTGGCTGGAGGCCAATCAACTCAGGCCATAACAGCAACTCTCAGCAGACTAACACTGCTTCCATGAAGGAAAAAAAAACAGCTAATACCACCACCTGCAATATCCTGGCTAACCAGAGGTCCTGAGTCTGTCCACATGACAACTTCACTGCTCACATAACCAGCATTCAAGAAAGCCAGCACACTAAGCCTATCTACAACCAAGGAATCTCAGAGCCTACATCACTCCCCAATCACCTCATCAGAGCAGGTGCTGGTATCCACGGCTGGGAGACCTGAAGACTGGCCACATCACTGGACTCTTTGTAGACATTCCTCAGCACCAGCCTGGAGCTTGGTGGTCTTACTGGGTGGCTAGACCCAGAAGAGCATTAACGATCACTGCAGTCTCACTCTCAGGAAGCCCCATACCTAGAGGAAGTGGTAGAGCATCACATCACGGGATCACCCTGTGGGACAAAAGAATCTGAACAGCAGACCTTGAGTTCCAGATCTTTCCACTGGTAGGAAGTTTCTCACAGCAGAGTTACAATTGCAGTACTTCGTGCTGTAGGAAAAGTCTGCACCTGTACCCCAAAAAGAAGGTAGTATCTGTGATCGTGAAGGACCTTGGAAAAGGAATCCTTGTTTCCCTCTGGCACTCCACTGCAGACACAGCTGGAGTTTCTCCCACAGGAATGCGGCATACAGGGACCTATAGACAGCCTTCCTGGAACAAGCCAGGGTGAGCACAGCCCTACAGGAGGAGTACCACCAAGATTCAAGCCTCCACAAGAGACAGAGTCACCATTCCTCTCTACTTGGAATATCAAAATTCACATAGATGAAAAGATGTTCCTGTCTCACCTGAATAGCTTAAACTCTGCGTCAGCAATGAGGCTGTGAGGTGAGTAGCTTTCCTAATGGCCTGGTAGGGGAGCTGAAGTAGCTCCCACTCTGCATCCTGATGAACCTCAGCACATCTAATTGAGAGCTCCCCCAGCCACCCTCAACAAGGCTAGGACCTCAGCCCGCCATTGGGTATAACTTCTACCCACCTGCTTTAGCTACAACTGGTACTTACCCAGGGATACCTTCCCAATTGGCCAGAAGCCTGAATCATCCATTTGGTAAATAAAGAACTGGGGAAAAATTAAAATAAGAAAGTGTAAACATGAGAGAACAAGATAAGCTACAAGAGATCTGATATAGTTTGGCTCTGTGTCCCCACCTAAATCTTTTTTCTTCTTCTTCTTGTTTTCATCTGCCTTTACTTCTCATTTCAAGGTTTCACAAAGTGCTGGGCTCTACCCACATCAGTGATACTGAACTCACCTTCCTCAGACAGAAACATGAAATGATTTTTAAAAAATAGAAAATATTCTTCTCTCCAGGCACACAAGACTCTACACTACCAGAAATGCTGCGGCTTGCAAAGTGCGCTCCCATGCCCGCGCACACAGGTGCACTTAAATAAATAACACATATGCGCGCGCACGGCTTTTCCATTTCAAAACACGCAGGGGGTCTGGTGAGTTTCAGCACTTGCTAGGAACAGGCATGTGGCGAGGGAGGTGCCCCGTGGGTGGCACTGACTGCTGATGGACCCCTGGTGAATCAGAACAGAGCTGGCACCTGAGCTGCTGAGCAGGCGGCTACTTTTGGCTCAGTGGAGTTTTGGAAGACCTTTGAGAGACCTACAGCATCACCGGGCAGGTCCTGAGTCCACGGCTGATACATTAGGATCACCTGTGGGCTGCTAAAAGCCCGCAGTCCTAGACACATCTGCAGAGTTGGCTTCTGAAGGCTGGGAGAGGCCCTGGAACCTGCATTTCTAAAGCTGCTCAAATCCAGGCCTTTGGAGGCTTAAGGCTAAGCCTGCCCCATTTCAAACTAAATACAGTCAAGAGAGAAAGATCCCAGCACGCCCCCTCGTTCTCACACTTCTGCTACCTGAGCACTCTCACAGCAGGTTCCCAAAGGTGATGGTTCTGGAAGAGATCTGGCCTCACCCTTTTGTTAAAACCTGCTTTCAGAGGCGGCTCACAGATAACGGCAGAGTGAGCCAGGAACGGTGGGTCACGCCTGAAATCCCAGCACTTTGGGAGACTGAGGTGGGTGGATCACCTGAGGTCAGGAGTTCGAGACCAGCCTGGCCAACATGGTAAAACCCCGTCTCTACTAAAAATACAATAATTAGCTGGGCGTGGTGGTGCACTCCTGTAATCCCAGCTACCCAGGAGGCTGAGGCAGGAAACTCACTTGAACCCGGGGGGTGGAGGTTGCAGGGAGCCAAGATCACGCCACTGCACTCCAGCCTGGGCAACAGAGTGAGGCTTTGTCTCAAAAAAAAAAAAAAAAAAAATTGAGATAATGGCAGTGTTCGCCTCTGACCAGCTTCATGCATGACCAGGGTGAGCTCCATGAGGCCCAGGTCTCTTTAACATGCCCTGAGGACCAGCACATATACTGCTTTATGGGGCTGGGCCCGATCTCTCCAGCCGTAGAGGTTTGGTGAGTCGTCTATTATTTTCTTACCTGCAAACAAAATCACTTTACAATAGACAGAGGCGAGGGAATTCTTGTACCCAAGACCCACTTGAAAAGTGGAGAGCAAGCATCCCTGAATCTAGAGGGTACCCTGGCCCCCTCGGGGAGCTGCCAGAACTCAGTCTAGAGAGGATGCACAAGGTGGGTCGCTCGAGCCGATGAGGATCGGGGCGTCCTGTCGGACAGTAGGCACCAGGTGACCGCCAAGTGCTTGGACCCAGGCAGTCTGGCCTGGGAAGAAGGTCCCCGGGGAGCAGAACAGTCTTTGCTGGGCCCAGATCCACCGGCTGGAAGACTTGGGGTGACCCTCCTCAGCCAAGAGCAAGGTGCAGCCTCGAGCAGCCCAGCACCGCCGCTGCGCGAAGGAGGCATTTCCGTTTATGGCTGTTTAGCTCCTTAAACATTTCAAGTCATACAGAAATAACTAGTGTAAAAAAAAAAAAAGGTGGCTGTGTAGGTTCTTTCCCGTGAGGTGCAGGTCAGGCTCTTCAGCCCCTTTAGGACCACCAACGTGCCTGGTCCCCACGACTCGCGGCTGCCTCCTCTCGGGCCGGGGCAGGGAGGAGCCGCTACTGCCGGTTATCTTCGGACACGTTGTGGGCCAGCCAGTTCACTCGGTTTCCAGCTCTCGCGGAGGGCTTCGTTAAACTTCACTCGGAAGTGCTTCGTTAAACTTCACTCGGAAGTGCTTCGTTAAACTTCACTCGGAAGTGCTTCAGCGCCTCCTCTGTTTTCCCCGGTGCCAGGGAGTCCTTGAGATACCGGATGTCTTTGGAGCAGCTGAGCTCAGGCAGGCCTGCTGCCTGCATCAGGGCAAAGAGGTGGAGGAAGAGAAGCCCGTGGCGCCGCAGGATGGTGTTAGGCCCTTTCACAGTAGCCCCGGAACCTTTCAAATTTCTCATATTATTAGTCTTCCCCTGCTCAATCACATGGACAAAGTCATAGGTGAGGATGAATGGGACACGCTGACGGTTGATTCCAAACGTGGTCTTGAAATTCCCCCAGAAAGTGGCAAAAATCAATGTGGAACAGCTGCCCACTCGCTCGGATCATGATGTTGTCGCTGTGCCGATCACCGATGCCCAGCACGTACGTGGCCACACAGTAGCCAGCACAGGAGAGGGTGAACTCTTCGTTGCCTCCATCCATGTTGCGGTTGTTGAGTTGGATGTTGGCGATGGTGTCTGGGTGGAGTAGCACCTCAACGACGCCTGTGTGGTCCCCAGTGGGGAGGCAGCCTTAGGGGGTCATCCTCAGGTCCAGCCCCTGCTGCTTCCACAGGACGTCCATGAGCCGGATCGTCTGCATGGTCAGCATGTCCTGCCAGAGGTCATCATCCCTCTTAAGGCTGACGCTCACCCTGCCACCACTGCCTGCCTCCTCATTGCTGTACATGATCCACAGGGGCTTCATCTTGGAGTCCATGAGGGTGCACTGCTCCACGCAGACTTCAGCCAGCAGGGTGCTGGGGTTGAGTGGGGACTGCAGGTGTAAGTGGCTCTGGGTGAGTGAGTGAGGGTATTACTTAAAATACTCTTTCTATGTTTAGAAAGAGTCAAAAAAAATTTTAAGTTAATCAAGTAAAAATCTTACAGTAAGCTAAGGTTAATTTATAATTGACAAAAGAAAAAAATTCATAAATTTAATGTAGCTCTAATGTCGAGTGTTTATAAAGTCTGCAGGAGTGTACACTAATGTCCTCGGCCTTCACATTCACTCGTCACTCACTCACTCACCCAGAGCAACTTCCAGTCCTGCAAGCTCCATTCATGGTTAAGTGCTCTATACAGGTACACCCTTTCAAAAATATTTTATACTATATTTTATTGTACCTTTTCTATGATTAGATATACAAATATTTACCATTGTGTTTCAATTGCCTAAACTACCCATTACAGCAACGCATGCTACAGGTTTATAGCTTAGAGCAATAGGCCATACCATATATCCAGCTGTGTAGTCAGCTGTACTGTCCAGGTCTATGCCAGGACACTCTGTGATGTTTGTACAAGGACAAAAGTGCCTAAGACCTCATGTCTCAGAACATATTCCCATCACTAAGTGATGAATGACTATGATTAAAATCATTAATGGTATACAAGTAATCAGTAAGGCATAATAAGTGTATTACATTTTTATAAGTAATTATTAAACATAAATAATTAACTTTCATTGCAAAGTTATCTCTTATTGAGATAATATTGGGTTGGGGAACAATTACGGTGCTTTGATTAAAGGAACTAATAAATCATATTTTGTTAGGTTCTTCTCGGGGTTTACCTCCTCGGGGATCAGATTTGCTATGCATGAGACTCATGCTCTTCTCAAATGTGAAGAGTTGATTATGAAAAGGGAAGTTCAAAGGTAGTCTCCCTCTCAGGTCCCTTTTTGGGCCCATCAACGTTAGGAAATAGTAATATGGAAGTCGAAGTTTTAGAAATTAATTCCCTTACGCCATCATGCATATCCCCTGCAAAGTCCTCCACACATACACCCCGGAATGCAGAAATCTGCAAGGGAGAGACTATCTGAGGGAAGGTTTGTCCTAATTTCTCTGGGAGAAGAGGCCAAGGGGCAATTCTGAAATCTGAGCTGGGAAAGGCTTTAGAGTCCCAGAAGGTCAACCAAAAAATCTCTCATGTAAGCACTCCAGGGGCAAGGGTGAGGTCGGAAAAGCCAGCATAAAGATGGTTTACCAAAAGATGGTAGAACAAGAGGCAAAAACAGGGACCAAAAACACAAGATGTAACTGGGAAAGTAGTTAGATGGAACGAGTTCATGAGGAACAGCAGGGTGGGGAGGCAGGTGAACAGGTGTTTCCCAGGGAGTCAGCCCTTCACACAGACAGAGACATGAGCCAGCCACCATCTGCGCCAGAGTCTGAAATCGTACTTCCAGTTCAGCCTTAGTCTGGGCAATGCCAAACCGGAGTTTAGAAGGTACAACCCAATAATTTAAGGGAAGATGTCATGATGGCTAATTTCCACGTCAGCTTGGCCAGGCGATGGTGTCTCCTTGTTTGGCCAAACACTGATCCAGTTATTGCTGTGATGGTATTTCTTAGATGCAATTAACACTGAAATCAGTAGATGTTGAGTAAAGTGGATCACCCTCCGTAATGCAAATGGGCCTCATTCGATCAGTTGAGGACCTTAAGAGCAAAGGATGAGGTTTCTCATAGAAGAAAAAATTCATCTTAAGGCTATAAAGTAAAACCTGTACCACAGTTTCAAGCCTTCAGACTTGAGCTGCAACATCAACCCTTGCCTAAATCCCCAGCCTGCCAGCCTGCCCTATACATTTCAGGCTTGTCACTCCCACAATTGGGTGAGCCAATTCCTGAAATCTCTTTCTCTCTGATTCTCTGTCTCTCTCCATAAATACATATATATATATATATATATACACACACACACACATACATATATATACACATATATATATACATACATATATATACACATATATATATACACACACATATATATATATACACACACACACACATCTATATCTATACAAATACATACATACACTATTTTCTGGTGACCACTGAGTAACGCAGACATCTTGAATTGGGATGCCTGATTCTAAACCATTTGCCATATGCGAATGCTATGACTGGGCAAGTCAATGGATTTCTCTAAGCCTCACTTTCTCACCTCAAAATAGGAATACTGCTGACACCCATCGCACTGTATCGTTGTAAAGGATCAGTGAGATCATACACATACAAGTCTTGGCACATAGGAAGTAGTTGGCGTATGGAAGAATTTCATATCCTCTTTCCTCCCTGTACACAAAATTAGCACAGCCTCCTGCTGCCCCACGGCATTCCTTGGATTGGCTCTTGGTGCATTTTGTGGAACATCATGACACTTGCATGTTTAATTCCATCATCTCAACTAGGGATAATGTTAGTATGTTTCCATGAAAAAACTACATGGCTTCACAAAACAAAATAGTAATGATAACAAAAAAACTGTTAAAATAAATATGATGCATTATTTCCAGCTTTTCATTAGTATTCATTTGCAACTTGTTCATTCATTTGTCACGTGCTAGCACAGAGAAGTAGTAGCAGGTGCCATGATTAAAAATATACGATGAGAGGAAAACTAGAAGTGAGACATTTTCTCCATTCATTAAATTTATTTCTGCCAGTGGGAAGAAGAAATCACAGCTACTTAATGTAAGCTGTAGACACCCCTGTTTAGCTCATGCTGGGAAGAAGGCTAAGAACCATTGTCCTGCCCCATAAAACACCACTTCATCCAAGAAGGCTTTCCTAATAGACGAGGCTGCTCTTCCTGATACACACAGCTTTCTCTTCATAGTGCTTATCGCACCTGCAGTAACATAATTCTGTGCATAATTATTTCTTTGATGTTTATCTTCCCCACTAGAATATGAGCTCCACATCCTTTCCCATCCTTTCACTGAAGGAGTTTCATGATGTGGCTGAGTGCTCAATATATACTTTACAATGAAATAAATCACATGTCGATTGTTTAACTTGACTTCCAAATCACTGCCAATTTCATCTAATCACACATGATTCCCTACACACGGCACCCTTGCTCCATCTCCATGAATTCCATCAGAAACTCTGTCTGCACTCCAATTTTCCTATGACACCTCCCATCTTGCCCCTACACCTCACTGAACTGTCAGTGTGAATGCCACAGCCCTTTATTGCTCTTAGTGAGTAGACATTCCCCTCAGATCCAGTTATCTTACCTGATCCTTGCTTCCTGTAGACAAAATTCCCTGACTCCAACAGCTGCCCAGCTTGGACCTCTTCCCATAAATTATAGCCAGACGCCTCTGATATCCAGCCTCCAGTGGAAAGAGAACTGGGCTTGGAGTTCTCATTTGAATATCTATTCCACTTTTTTGATCTTGGAAGAGTCTCTTAATCTCTCTGAGCCTCAGTTTCCTCAACTGGACATCAGAGATAATAACAGATAACTCTTATTAGCCGTTGTTCTGCAGAGAAACAGAACCAATGGGCTGTGTATGTGTGTATACATATAGACATTTACATATACATATGCATGCACATACACATATACATACACATGCACATACACACACACATACATACACATGCAGACATACATATATACGTGCACATACACAGATACACATGCACATATGCATACACGTACACAAATACATACATATACACATGCACATATACATATACATATACTTATATATATACATATGCACATAGACATACATATATGCATGCACTTGCACATATATATGCACATACACAAGCACATACACATCCATACACACATGTACATCCACATCCACATGTATATACTACACATGCACATATACCTCCACATACACATATACATACACATGTGGATACACATACACATATGTACACATACACAAATATGTGCAAATATACATAAAATGCACATATACATACACATGCACATGTAATGTATGCACGCACATACACATATACATACACACATATAAATATGCATGTATGCATACATACATATACACATATACATATAGATACACATATACATATATACACATATACACACACTTATACATACACATATACATATACGCACACATAAATATATAGATACATATAAATACACTTGTATAGTCACATACACATGCACATATACATACACATAGACATACACATACACATAAATTTATCTTAAAGAACTGGCTTACGTGGTTTTGGGGGCTGCAAGTTTGAAATCTGCAGAGCAGGCCGGCAGGCTGGAGATTCTGGGAGGAGGCGTTGTTACAGCTCAAATCAAAAGAGAGTCTAGAGGCAGAATTCCCTCTTCCTCGGAAGACCTTCATCTTTTTCTCTAAGGTCAGGTGATTCAAAGAGGCCCACTCAAGTTACAGACAATAATCTGCTTTATTCAAGGTCTACTGATTTAAGTATTAATTTCATTTGAAAAAATACCTTCACAGAAATATCTACACTGCTGTTTAACCAAATATCTGGGCACCACAGCCTAGCCAAATTGACACATGAAACTAACAAACACAAGAACTCATCACATGATTGTGAAAACAAAACTATATGGTCTAAGAAAAAGTGCACATGGTATGCTCTCAATTCCTGACATACCTTCACTTCTTTCTCCATATTCACTAGGTCCCTGGGTTTGTCACTATTAGTCACTCCTGGATGGAACATGGGGAGAAAAATTTTAGTGGAGTTTGAACAAAACTGAAAAAGTTTTGCTTGATCTATTATAATCATATAAACACAAACTTTCACATACTCTGGTCAAGACCTATTTTCTACAAGAAGTGCTCTTATGAAATATTCAATTGACACATACATAACTTTAGTTTGTCCAGTGTTTTTCTATATTTATACCATATATACTGCAGATATGAGAGGCACTTAACCACATAATATTCTAAAGCTAGGATACAACACAATCCATTTCTTCCATATCGGATGGCTAAAGTCAACATGTCCAGAATCTACCCATAGTTTCACTAAAATTGCTATAAGCACATATGTACCTTGAGTCAGAATTAGGAATGCAAATGGTGGTCTTTTTTTTTTTTTTTTTTTTACACATGACTGTTGCTAACTTCAATTAAGTAAAATAGACTTGGTGTAATTTTCCCAGACCTGCAAATTAAAGCCTGCTGAAACCTAGCAACAATGTATGAAAAGGGACTTTTATTTTGTCAAATGTCACTTGGCTGTCATTAGACATGCTTATACTCCCCTGTGTGTAAATCCATGTCATGAGGTAGATTTTTTTGAAATAGCAAAAATATGAGTAGTATGAGCTCTTAGTGGTCTATGTGCTTGGTTATTCATCCTTTTCTGGGGCTTGGCTATTTGGGTCTTGGAAGATTTTCTGGGTTTTTATGTCAGAAAAGAAAATTTTTCAAGCTTCCACTGTAAAATGTGGTAGAATTATATATGTTGGCGTCTATTCATGTGCTTTGCAGCACTGTCAACCATTACAAATTCACCGGTGTTTAACTCCCTGTAGGTGTCCTTAAAGTACAGGATTGAATTATGATAGAAATGGATGGTCATTGAAATATGGAATAATCAAATAAGAGAATAGCAAAGTAATCCCTCAAAAGGAGTAGGGTGAAATGAGAAGGAAGGACTAAAGTTTGCTGTTGACATTTTTTTCACTATGGTTTATCATATTAATCCCTTGGCAATGAGACTCCTGAAGGTCTTACTTAAATTTTGCTATATTTAAATAGTGCCTTCTGCCCCTGACCTAGTCTCAAGTTGTTTCAACCAGAAACAAAAACCTGTTTCAAGGAAAAATTTTATATCTGATTACCTGAACTTAAAGGCAGATACTATTTGTTGATTCAGAAAGTGGTGTTAAAATCATCGGTGTTTATGCTCTTTAATTCTTTTTTTACAGTGTGAAACTACAACTGTGTTTATAAGGAGGATGCCACTGGAAATGAATTCTGCTCAAAGAATGAACTCTCTACACACATCATCTTTCTCTCACAGACATCATACCACCTCAAGCACTGCAGCCTCAAAAGGTTAGGCTGATACCTGATGAGAAGCGGAATTATGCAACTTCAGCAATGATCATTGCCAAGTACATTATGTGTATGGGTTAAAAATATATGCCATGGTACAGAAAAAAATATATATTGCATGATCTCACTTATATGTGGAATCAAAAAAACCAAATGTATAGAGATAGAGAACAAAGCAGTGGTTACCAGAGGTGATGATGTTTGGGAGTGGGAGAAGGAAACTGGCGGGGTAGGTCAGGGGATAGAAAGTAGCAAATATGAAGGATGAACAAGGCTGGAGACCTACAGCCCAACATACCACTACAAGTAATAAACTCGAGCTGTATTTGGGATTCATGCTGAATGGCTAGATTTTAGCTGCTCTTGCCACACAAAGAAAAAAATGAATAACTAGGAGAGATGACAGATATGTTAATCTGTTTCACTGTAGTATACTTTTTTTACTATTTATACATATTCCATAGCATTATGTTGCATACCTTAAGTATATATAATAAAGTTTATTTTCTTAAAAAGCATATGTCATAAACTTTGATCATCTAGGGAGTTTTGAGGCCTTCCTATTTCATATTAGGAAACACACACACACACACACACACACACACACAACATACAAATCAGCATATTATTTCTAGCATTAATTGCCTAAGGTTTAAGGTGTTGAGGACAAATGACTTCTTAAAAACAAGCCCTCACCCCACATGCTGAGATTATTACCTACGTCTCCTATATTTATCAACTGCAAAAGAGAAAAGTGGCCAATGAATGCTGAAAGTAAAGGCTTTGTTTTCTTATCTATGCAGGGGAAATTCCTGAGTGATTCTTCTTGAAGCTTAAATTCTGTGGGATTTTTATGGTGGAAAACTTAGGAGAGGAACCAGACAGCCCATCTAGGAGCTGATACTCTTCTAGTGAAGACCACCCTTGCAGGAAAGCATCTGTCCTCCCAGAATCCGGATGTTAGGTTTGAGAATTTACTAATGTGTGACTTCTCTGAAACAATTTATTTAGGAAAAAAGGTTGAATAAATATATACTCAATAAAAGTATTGCAAAAATTAAATAAATCACATAGGTAAAGGTTGTCTAAATGGGAAATTCCTTCAGACAAACAGGGATTTTTAATTGTGACCACCATTGTGTTTGTTATCCATTGCCACAGTCATCTGGGACAGAATGCAATCACAAACTCCTTACTGACTTAAGAAAACAAGCATTTACTTAATCCAAACATAGGTCTGAGGGAGGCCGAGCCATTTTTCTGCTCTCAGCTGGGCTCACTCATGAATCTGCAGCTACCAATGTGATCCAGGCAGCTCAACACATGGAAGGTGGGCTTGCTGGGCAGTGCCCCCTGGTCTCAGCTGGAGGAACCAGTCTCCCCCATGGTGTGTGTCATCCACCAACAGGATGTCCCAGGCTTGGTTTCATGCTGACGGTGATTTATCAACACTGTAAGCAGAACCGTGAAAGGTGTCTTGAGGCCAGGTGCAGGAGCAACACAGTGTCCCCTCAGCTGCATTGTCTTGGTCAAAACTAGCCACGAGGCCAGCCCAGATTGGAAATATGAGAAGGAGAAGCAACTTCTTGATGGCAAGACCTGCAAAGTCACATTGCAGCGGGCATGGATACCCTCAGAGGATTCAAAAATTGTGGCTGCTTTTGAAATCAATCCACTACATTCATTAAATATAATATGTATATCAAAGGATCACAGAATAAAATAAATTTAAATTGGATGAATACTGTCGCTGGAAAGAAGATAATATTTTGGAGAAGACAGACAGTCTTGAATCTGCCATGGCTCATAACAGAACCTGGGAAAATTTAAGGAATGAAAACAAAGGTGATTAGTGAAGGGTCAACACACTCATGGATTTATTACATCATCTGGCACTAGGAAGTCCTTCAGTTTCCACACTGAGCACGTGGATGGGCAATGAGTATTTAATAGTCTATATTTCTAGGTGGAACAGTCTTAAACCTTTATTAAACTTTAGTATTTTTATTTGATACCTCCCATCTCCATAGGTGGCTGCAACTCTATTTCATAGAACATAAACAAATTCCTTCTTACAGTGCTGTATTAGTCAGGATCATTTAGTGCTTCTTACTTCTTACAGTGCTGTATTAGTCAGGATTATTTAGTCTATGCTGTGGTAACAAATAACCCCACAGGTCTTAATGTGGGAATATAATAGAAGATTTTGTTTCTCATGCTAAGTCCAAAGCAGGCCAGATGGCCCTCCTCTGTCTTGTAGCCATGCCTCCTGGCCTCCACAGTGCCAAAACAGTGAAAGAGCAAAGTAGAAGAAACTACAAGATGAAGGGGAACAAAAACAAAAGGTGTGTATAGCCAGGTGCAGTGGCAGGGAACTATAGCCCCGGCTGCTTGGGAAGCTGAGGTAGGAGGACTTCTTGAACCCAAGTCCAGCCTGGGCGACATAGCCAGGCCCCATCTCTAAAAATAATAAAATTAAAATAAATATTATGACAGACCAGGTCCTCTAGTACTTATTGTAATTTTTTTTCTTATTTCCTGTGTCTGTGTCCTTGAAAGACATGGAATGTCAGGGTAACCCATTTCTCTTACCTCTGCCATATTTGAAGCAGGTATTGAAGAGAAGAAAGAGGAGAACTTGTCCATAGCCCTCCTGTCTGTGGCAATGCTCCTACCCAGGAGCTGGAGCATGGAGGGCACTGGGCACAGGAGAGACAAGCCAGGTGAGTTGCCTACTTAGGAAACAAGTTCCATTTCCAATGCCCTCTTCCCTCCTCTACCCCACCCCACTCTTAATCCCAGGTCTCATGCCAGCTACCTGGGGCATAAGGACAGAACCACTATCAATCATGACATTTTTGCATGCAAAAAAATATTGTTTTCAGTGTCACCCCATTAGTTCAAGTTCAGCTGCTTCTAACCTCTACCATCAGCTACTGCCCAATCTTTGGTAAGGGTGAACAAGGGAAGGACTGAGCAATATGGCAAATGTAGCATAAAACTGTCCAATCCCCTGTGTCTGCTCTTCCACCTGCTGTGATCCTAGCAAACACCGCATGGGGGTACAGCAGGTCTTTTATTCATCCACTAAAGGTGCTACCTTATTTCTGAACTTAAAACCATAAAACAAACATGTGCTAACATGTGTTAGCATATTTGGTCCTTGGGGTAACACTACAAAGCACGTTCCTAATCCCCACTGCACAGATGCAATAGCTGGGCCTCTGGGATGTGCCAGCACTGGGATTCTGAGCATACCCTCCTGATAGTGTCCTTTCTGTCAGGACATTTACATGATGGGAGCTAATAGTGAAGTTCTAAATGCTACGAAACAATGAAGGTGGCTTCTGGAATCCTTTCTTTCCTCCAGACTTCACATGTCTTTGCACACATTGCATGACATAACCCTTGGGTGATGAGAAGGCTCTGCTGAGTTCATTGCCATTTGCCTGAATTGGGCCTAATTCTCCATTCAGTCCAGAAGACACCGATTTGCAGGAACACAATCTCCTCCAGGACATCCTCCCCACTTGATTACCTCCGGGCAGTGACTAGGTCCAAAATTAGTGTGCAGGCCAAGTGACTCATGCCTGCGGTATTCATGACAGTGAGAATTGATGTGTGCAAGGCAAGAACAAGATTTATGGATCTCCTTACTCCTATGATTTACTGAAAGCTGGCTTTTATTACCTAAAAGCCAGCCACAGACATGTGCTGGGTGCGCTGGGATATATGCCTGGGGTGCAGCTCTGTGGGCGGCTGCCAGGAACAAGAAGGAGGAAAGGGGAAAAAAATAGAGAAATAATTTTACAGATGAGACACTTGTCGAAAATGCAGAGCCTACAGTGCTCCAGGAACAGCTGGCGATGATGAGCTAAGAAGAAAAGGCACCATTTGCAGGCAGTGGACAGCTGCAGGCCCTGCCACACCAGCTACTGAGTGGGCAAGACTGATTTATGGAAGGGCCGATAATGGCAAAGAAATAAAGATTGATTTGCTCTAGAGGATGTTTCGAGAGTTGTGGGGCAATGGAGAGAAAGCGGAGAGGGAGACTGTGGATCCTGACAAAAGCTTCATCTGAAAATGCACACAGGACTGAAGCGAAGAGAAGGAAATGAAAAGCAATCTGTTATTATGCAAATAGTCATCATATCTCATGGGTGTGGATATACTACCAGGAACTGGGATGCTGACACGCCCAACAAGCACAGGTACAGCTGTGCTAACCCTGGCTTCTGGCCCTGGTCTCCTCACCAGTTCTTGTTTGCTGAGTTCCTTCTCTGTGCCCAGCCCTGTAACTTCTGGGAGATAGGAAAGATGTAAGATGTGTCCAGAGAAATAACTTATGCAACACTAACAAGCAGTAAAATAAGCCTAAGGTACAAGGCGTCCCACCCGCCTGCCTGCCTGCCCTCGGTGTTTAATACCTACTCATCTTTGTGGTTCTAGCTCAATGAACATCTCCTTGGGGAAACATCAAAAGACCGTGGCAAGGTCTCATCCCACCTAATACACTTTCATAACAACGTGTATTGTTCCTTAAACAAATAACGGGATTGTTAATTCACATGGATTGCTCTGTTGTTTGTTCCTTTACTGTCTGCCCCACCACCAACACACACTTACCCTAAGCTTATTTAGAGCAAAGCCATCAAATCCACAGTGGCTTGTACGTGGTAGATGCTTAATAAATATCTGTTGAATGGTCTGCTCTATTCAGTCATTCATTCAGTGAAATATATTTACTAAATGGCTGCCACGTGCTGGATGCTGACATAAAAATACACTTGAGGGGTGATGTGCACTGCAGAGAAATAGCACAATGGGAGGTAAAGGGAGACGCGAATGGCTATTTTAATTCGAGGATCCAGGGAATGCCTGTGACGTTTTAGCTGAGATTGTATAAGAAGAGCCAGATGCTGAAATATCGGAAGGAATACTCCTGGCAGTGAGAAGGGGAAGCAAAACACCCTACGTAGGAGCAATCTGTATGTGTTTGAGAGATGGAAGAAAATACAGTACAGCCAGAACCACGTTTGTCCACTCGTTCATTTGTTTGTTCATTCATCTCTTCATTCACTCACTGGCCCATTCACTCTTTCATTTGACAACATTAGGCCCTATACTCTGTGCTCAGAAGAAACACACCCAGAATGTAGCCTGCTGTTGAGATGCTGGCAGCTTCATGCAGTAGCTCAGGGAGGTCTGGGAGAGCAGAGATACTAGGAAGATTAACATGGTGCAAGTGAGCTTGACTGGGAAGAAAAAGACGAAACCAGGCTGGCCAAAGGACACTTCTGTAGGGCAGGGGTTCTCAAGGTGATGTTTGCAGAATCTTTGGCAACCATGAGACATGTTAAAATTATTTTCATAATATCTTCATATGTTATGTCTTTTTCACACTATTGAGGTTTGCACCGGTGGTTTCAAAGCAATGGTGACCAAAACTGTTGGCACGTTAGGACCAATCAAGGCATTTGAAACAAACTGTCGACTGAAAAATAGTAGCAGGAAAAAACACATCAATTTCATTTAAGAATGTACTTTACTCGGTAAAATTATTAATCGTATTCAATTAAATCATCGATTTCACATCTTCTAAATATTCTGTATGATGAAATAAGGAGGACTTGTAAAGCACTTCTGCTATGGATTGAGATACAATGGTTCCTCAAGGAAATCATTTATGTGATTGAGTTGCAAGCTGAACTAGCTAATTCTTTCACGGAACACCACATTTAGTTGAAAGATCCTTGGACAGCAATCTTTGATCACTCAGACTTGTATGGCAGACATATTTCTAAAAATGAACAGCATGCACCTGTCACTTCAAGAAAACTGATTGGAAATTTTTCTTGCCAATTACAAAATTAAAGCTTGCAAGAAAAAATTAGAATTTTGAAAAATCCAAATCTGCCACTGTGATCCAGACAGCTTCCCAATAAATTAACACTTTGCTGATGAAATTGATACTGATATTAGTAAATGCAATTTTTTTCATATAATAAAATGTGTTAACATTTACAAGAGCTGGGTAACGCAAATGAGCCAAGAGTTTTTCAAATGACCAGTGCATAATGTTACAAGACATTGCATAGGTAAAATACACATTCAAACTGTAAGATAGACCAATGGATTTTAACGTGCAATAGTATGAACATTTGTGTAAAGTTAAAATTTCCACAACAGGCTGCAAAGACTATTAAATTATTTTCATTTTCTCCAGCTACCTATCTGCATTAGGGCAAATTTTCTTAGTATACCTTAATCGAAGCAACATATTGGAACAGATTGAATGCAAAAGCAAGTGTGAGAACCTTGCTGTCTTCTATGAAGTAAGACATTTGCAGTAAATAAAACAATGACATTCTCCTTGCTAATTTTGTCTTGAGAAACTTTTTTTTTAAATGTCACATAGTAACAGGTAATGGATTTAGGGTTGTTATTTTTAAATAAAATTAATACATTTTTAAACAAAAACATCTCCATTTTAATTTCTTGAATTGTAAATTTTGATTGATGTAATCCACACAAGCTAAATGCAAGTGATTCCTGAGATCAGAATGCTTGAGAACGACTGCTATAGGTTAGAGTGAGAGAAAAAATTGGAGCTGGATGAGGCTAAAAGTATATGAAATTTCTAATTGGCTATGTAGGTGAATCTGATGATGAATGTCACTCCCAGTGTTATCAATATAGGTTTAAAAATAATGTCTATTCTAAAGATAACCAATTATCATCAGATATATCTAATATGAAAAATGTTCTACCAACATATATAACATTTATTATTTTACTAAAAATATATCTATATGCCAGGCCCTGCCCTAAGCGACATATATGTAGAAATGTGCTTAATTCTGAAATCGGTCCTTTGAGATATTGATATGGTTTGGCTGTGTCTCCACACAAATCTCATAGTGAATTGTAGCTCCTATAATCCCCACATGTCATGGGAGGAACCCAGTGGGAAGTAATTGAATCATGGGGGCAGGTTTTTCCCATGCTGTTCTCATGATTGTGAATAAATCTCATGAGATCTGATGGTTTCGTAAATGAGAGTTCCCCTGTAAATGTTCTCTTGCCTGCCACCATGTAAGAGGTGCCTTTGCTACTCCTTCACCTTCCACCATGATTGAAGGCCTCCCCAGCCATGTGGAACTGTGAGTGCATTAAACCTCTCTTTCTTTATAAATTACCCAGTCTCAGGTATTTCTTCATAGCAGTGTGAAAACAGACTAATACAGGTACATCTTGTTATCCTCATTTTTCAGATGAGGAATTTAAAGTAAAAAGAGCCAAGTAATGTTCCCAAGGAAAATGCATGTTATTAGTAAAAGGCAACTGAGGCAGTGGACTCCAGAATTTGTATCAATATGGCATATTTTTGACTTATTTTCTTTTTTACAAAGTGCAATTTTGGTGAACAGGTTGAAATTCGGGGTTACAGGCTATGCAGCCAGACTGCTGATGCTGAAAGGCTGATTTGCTCTGATCCCTGAGACTCCCACGTGCTCTTAGTTCACTGTTCATTGTATGCACTCCATTGCTCACACACACATGCTGGAAAGGAGAGGAATTTTCCTCTTTTTTGTTAAAACATTAAATGCATATATTTGTTGCTTGTGACCTATTAGATATTTTACTCTAAGTGAACATAATTTTCTTCTCTAGGACACATCAGAATTTTCCTTTCAATCTCATTATGCTTTAGTCTCTTGACTGATGAGCAGCTAACATATTTAACAGTAATAGAGTCATGGCATCTGCAGAAGGGAATAGAGAGGAGGTAGCCAGTCCTCAGATCTGGCTGTCTACTGCCTAGAATCACTCAGTGTTTGAACCGCTGGCCAATTACCCCTGCTCCTCCTGCCCTCTCAGCCCCAGTACCTCCCATATGGCTTTGATTTAGAGGCACTCAATTTATCAAAACAGTTTGTTATGTTAAAAAACTATTTGATGTCAAAGAAGCCATATGACCCTTTTTATGTGTACTTTTCCTGGAATAAGAAATCAATTTGCTCATTTTAAACAAAGTTGGGCCCTAAAGACACTTGAGTCAGTGCTACATTCATAAGGCAACAAGAAAAGATGTATCGGCAAAACATATTCCCCCTTTCACAGCCTCGCGGGGTGTAAGGAATGGAGGGACCCTCTTGAAAGAGCTCTTCTCCACAGGGGGCATTATCACTCCTCAGTCCACCTCAGGATCCGCTGGGCTTGACTCAGCAGAGTGCTGATGTCACACCCAGGAATATGAGTTCTTACAGGTACACCTGGTGATTCTGGTGCAAGTCTTTACATCATGATTTCAGAAGATTTTTCCCCTTTGGCATTCTCTCTGCTAAGAATAATGTTCACTTAATGATCTGACTATCCATCTCTTCCCACCCCACCCCTTAAATGTGAATTTTGTGCAGGATTCTTTGCTCTGCAGATCCACCTTCTTACTGTTTGTCAAATGCACACTTATGCTTTCCCACTGCAGAGCTCCAACTGGGGTTCCTTCTAAAAATCCGACTTGGTTACTGACGTGCTTATTTCCCCCAGGAGCCCTTTGTAGCGAATTGTGTGGGTTTCTCCTCACCTGACATGTTGCAGCCATGTATTGTGAAGAATGAGTCCAGCTCCGGCGTAGAGCCATATTTGGTGAGAGATGACCCTGGTAATTTTCATCCCCCTTTTTCAGACAGGGTCTCAGGAACCAGGACTAAACCCATGCATGGACAGCATTCTTCAGGCCATCTGGATAATGTGCACATAATGGATCATGGAAAATCCACAAGAGAGTCGCAGAGAAATACAACTGGGGCCCCTGAGTTGAGCCAACTGCTGTAGTTATCTTACCCCTCCACTTCCGATTATTTGGGACAATCAGTTGCTTATGTTTAAGCTGTTAAACTGAATTCCCTGTTCGGATTAAATTTTCTGTTAGTTTTGGAAGCATCAGAAAGAAACAGACAACAATAAATATTCAAACAAAAGCTTCCGTTGTTGCTCTTTATGTGGACTCCTCCTAGAAAGAGCCTAGGAAACACAAGCACCTGCCATGGGCTGGGCTCTATGATGAGTACAATCTCCATGAAACAGAGTAATCCTTCTGAAGTTTGTGTTTCATTCTTCTTTTTAAAACCTCCATACCTGCTGTGAACTAAACATCTGTGTCGTCTCAAAATTCATATGCTGAAAACTCTAAGCCCTAATAAGATGGCTTTAGAAGGTGTGGCCTTTGGGAGGTGATTAGGTCATGAGGGTAGAGCCCCCATAATGGAATAAGTACCCTTTAAGAAGAGACAGGAGAGACCTCACTATCTTTCTTTCCATTTTTTGTCATAGGAGAATACAGCAAGAAGGCCACCATGTGCAAACCAGGAAGAAAGCCTTCTCTAACAGCCTGGCCACTCAGCACCCTGATCTTGAACTTCCAGCCTCCCAAACCGTAAGAAATCAATGCTCCTTGTTTAAAGCACCCAGTGTGTGGTAGTCTGTTACAGCAGCCTGAGTATGCTGGGATAACAGCCTTAACACTTCAAGTAGACACCTCAATTATTCATAAACCTTGGCTCATAGGACAATATCACCTCCCAGCAATAATCTGCTTTCTTTTTCCTCTCATCTGTTATTACTATTTAGTTTTACCCTCATCATCATTCCCTCTTTCACCCTGCCGTCTCCATGAAAAACTCTCAGTCCTGAGTTTCTTATGTCTTCCAGCTTGCAGGCTACTATATTCTGAGGAATTCCATTTTCCCATATACACCTGCAGAGATCCAGTTGGCTAAATTTTGCCAACCTTTGAGGGGTAAAAAATGTTGTTTCAATTTGCATTTCCATGATTGCAAGTGACCTTATGCAGATCTCCGCACACTGCGGGCTGTTTGTTTTCCTCCTCTGTGCATCCTCATTCATACACTTTGTTCAGTTTCCATGGGGTTTTCAGAACTTGGCTTGGTGCTTTGAAAAAGTCTCTTTGATACTTGAGATAGAGCTCCCTGTTTGTTTAGGCAATATAAATATACTCATTCCCTGTTCACTTTATCTTTATTAAACAAAAGTTATTTTTTAATGTGGTCATAGCCATAGAGTCCCTGTAAAGTTTAATATATTTCAAGTCAAGTTTAAGAAATCCTTCTTTACCTTGTGATCATAGAAATTGTCTAGTCATTTTTTTTATTTTGTTTTCCAGTTGTATCTTTCAATTCAAGCATTTAATCTATTTGGAGTTTATGTTAACAAAGGACATGAAGAAGGAAGCCAGCTTTACTTTTCTTCATGTGGCTAACCAATGTTTTTAACAGCAGTTTACTGAATAATTGATTGCTTTGCCAGCTAATTGTGGTGCTACATATAGAATATTTCAGTGTTTGCTATATTGTAATCTATTGTTCTCTTCTTGTGCAAAATCACGCTGCTGTTTATTTGTCACTTTATTTGTACTAAACTAAAGTTCTGTAGATTCCTTAGTAATTAGCAAGCTGGTTCCCCTACCTTTCTTTTCTTTTTCAATCTACTTGTTCTTTTATTTACATTTTAGAATTCACTCATCAAATTTCTTAATATCTTGATGGGATCTTGAAGAAAATTATATTGAATTTAGATATTAATTTCGGAATAATTTACATTCTTAAAATAGCATATAATCGTACACTTGAAAATAGTATTTCTATACTCCTTTTTTATCCTTTAATATATTTTCAAAATTTTTCTACTAAGATCTTGTTTATTATTTGTTAATATTCATTTATTTATTATTTTTTACTTTTTTGAGAGGAGTCTCGCTCTGTCTCCCAGGCTGGAGTGCATTGGCACGATCTCAGCTCACTGCAACCTCTGCCTCCCAGGTTCCAGCGATTCTCCTACCTCAGCCCCCGAAGCCGCTAGGATTACACGCATGTGCCACCATGCCAGCTTTAGATGTTTTATACATTTTGCTGCTATTACACATGGGCTGATGTTTCATGTTATATTTTCTGGTCAATTATTACCAGTAAAGAGACATGCTTTTGCATTTTGTATACTGACCTTATGTAAGTCAAAACTGCTAAACACACTTATACTTTCTAAACATATTTGTATTTATTGGATCAGGTTTCCTATACAAATAATTGTATCATCTGTAAATAATAATTTGTTTTTCTCTTCCTGTTCAATTACTTTTATTCTCATTAATTTTTCTTGTCTTGTTATTTGGCTTAAACATCCGATATAGTAATTTCCCCTTATCTCTGGTCTCACTTTCGATAGTATCTTTTACCCGTGGTACAATACAACAAAATATTTGAGGGACAAAGGGATAGATAGACACCTCATTCATATAACTTTTAGAACAGTATATTGTTATAATTGTTCTATTATTAGTTTTAGTTAATCTCTTACTGTGCCCAATATACAAATTAGATTTATCATAGGTATGTATGCATATTAGTCTGTTCTTACATTGCTATAAAGAAATACTTAAGTCTGAGTAATTTATAAAGAGACTTAATTGGCTTATAGTTCAACAGGCTGTACAGGAACCATGATGCTGGCGTCTGCTTGGCTTCTGGGAAGGCCCAGGAAGCTTACAATCATGGAAGAAGGCAAAGGGTGCACAAGTGCATCACATGGCAAAAGCAGAAGCAAGAGAGAGTGGGGGAATGTGCCATATGCTTTTAAACAATCAGATCGCATGAGAAATCCTTCGCTGTCACAAGGACAGTACTGAAAGGGTAGTGTTAACCCATTCATGAGAAATCATCCTGAGATCCAATCACCTCCCACCAGGCCCCACCAACACTGGGGATTATAATTCAACAACATGAGATTTGGGTGGGAACACAGATCCAAACCTTATCAGTGTGTGGCACATGCCTGCAGTCCCAGCTACTGGGGAGGCTGAGACACGAGAATGGCTTGAACCCTGAGGCAGAGGTTGCAGTGAGCCAAGACTGCGCCATTGCATTCTAGCCGAGGCAACAGAGTGAGACTCTGTCTCAAAAAATAAAAAAATAAAAAATCAGATAGGGTACCTGCTCCTCAGGATTTCAGAGAAATCATTAGGACTTGGAATGGTATATGCTAATAAAATAAAGCATTATTCACTACTGTTCTCTATATTAGTAATAATCTCTTCTGTTTGAAAAAATGTCAGGAATAATCTTAAAATCATCAGTTAGAGGAGTAGACTATTGCCCACGGACTGCTATTCTCTAAAGAAATCTCAGCCAGGCTCAGCGCCTCACCCCTGTAATCTCAGCACTTTCGGAGGCCAAGGCGGGTGGACCACCTGACCCCAGGAGCTCGAGACCAGCCTGGGCAACATGGTGAAATCCCGTCAGGTGGTGGCGGGCACCTGTAGTCCCAACTACTGAGAAGGCTGAGCCACAAGAATCGCTTGAACCTGGGAGGCAGAGGTTGCAGTGAGCTGAGATCGCGCCACTGCACTCCTGCCTGGGCGACAGAGTGAGACCCTGTCTCAAAAAAAAAAAAAGGAAAAAAAAGAAAAGAAATCCCAGTGAATGTTTGGATATTTTGTAATCAGTTTTTTTTTCTCTATAAGACAAAGAGAATTCCATATCCAAACAACCAATAAGAAGTTTCTATTTTAAATACATATTTTAACTGTGAAAGTTTTGACCAGGTATGTATTTTGGAATTAAAAAAAAATACATAGTTTGCAGATCAAACGAAGAAAAGAATCCTTTCAAAACAATACATTAAGAGCTGTGAAACCAGTGGAGGACAGAAATAAATATTCAGCTGATGTTATTGGTCTCAACGATCCCCACGATTTCTTTTCTTCAATAGTCACTTATGTAAAATGTGCACATTTATGATTTGATAACTAATGAAAGCATGCCAAACCGCACAGATCTCCAGTGATTACCAGCTAGAAGTGTTGGTAATCTACAATCCAGCTTCATTTAAAAAATGGCTTCCTAAAAATTCAAATACAAATCCTAATTGTATGATGCACTTAAAACACTCCTTTTTCTCAGTAAGGGGCAAGAATGAGAAGAAACCCCTAGGGTGACATTGGAAATGATGCTGATATGAGTTTTATATTTTGAAAACATAAAGGAACAGCAATTTGTTGAGGTTTCCTAGAGAAGTTATTTTATACACATACACACATGCAGATATATGTATATGTATGTATATGTATAGTATATAGGTAGTGCATGCATGTATATATACATATTGTATTATGTATATGTGTATGTGTGTGTGTGCATGTCCATGTATCTGTGTTTGTTCTTGAACTGTAAATTGAACTCAGAAAATTGATCCACAGAGTGCCAGGTAGAATTTAAATTCTTCTTTGCTTGTATTTTTTTAATTGCTAAGTAATATGGCTCAATTTTAAGACAGCTTTAAGAATTGATCAAGGGCATGGCATGAAAATTAAAAGAGTTTACACCTGAAATTCGTATATTCCCTCAGGGAGTTAGAAAACATGTATTAAAGAACCTTCTGGTGCACATATTCCAGGACTGCCCTAATGAGCAGGTGAGGAGAGTTAACTCATTGGAAATATTGGTAAGATGCTATTTCTCCATCTTGGCTTTATTCAAAGGAGAATAAACACCCCTCTGGGCTCAGATAAAATAGACAAGAGCTTTATAAAATCACATACCCGGTCCTAGGAAATCCTAATATAACCACACTTTCCTGGAGAAATATAGCTTACAATGAAGAATGTTGCTGATATTACATGTATGAATGGTGAATAAATGGAAAAGACAAACACACAGAGAAACTGTCATTTTCAATACTGCTTCCTGAAAATTCAACTTTTCTCATTTTTCATTTGCACTAACCCTTTCTTTTCTTCCTATCCTCTTTTATTAACTAGCACAGTGCCCCTTAACCTTAGCTGCATAATAAAATCGTCTAAGGAGTTTTTAAAAACACCAACGCAGGACCCCGCTGCAGGTCAAATGCATTGTCATCTCTGGTGTGGCTGCGGAGCAGTGTTTAAAGGCTCCTGGCCATCCCAACAGTGGGGAACCCTAGAGACAGCTCGACCTTGAAGTTTTGCCAGCACCTTTGCAAGGGCAAGCTGAGTGAAACCAGGAGACAGGCCCTCCATAAGGAAAGCATGCCGGCCAGGAAAGCTGAAGGGTTGGGAAGAAAATCTCCACCTGACATACCCTTTTTTTTTTTTTTTTTTTTTGCTGACTCCTCATCCTGTTCAGTAAAGTGAGAATAACCAAGTCTTTAGAGTCCCATCCATAGACAGACACTGGACTAAGTAGAATTCTGTTATTTTCTTGTTGTCTTTTACCTGCTTAAGATCATTTTATCTTATAAAAATTAGAGATACTTTAAAGAATTTATGACTTTTAGAATAATTTATTGGTAATATTAAAAAATTACACCTTTTCAATTATGAATTTTTAGATTACAAAGAAGGTAGACTTCAGTACAAACAAGAGGAGTTCTAAACATTTTTAGTAAAAAATATATTATCTACCAATAGTTTTTACTAATTGAACTTACTGACAGGTTAAAAAAAAGGTACCTTTTTGTTTGTTTTAGTGATTTTGTAATTTTATATTAATTCATCCTGTCACCAAGCACATATCTTGGGTAGAAATGTGTCCAGATAGGAAAAAGGTAAACACTGAAAGATTGCTATTCATTGCATTCAATTCTAATATGAATGTATTGATTTTCATTTACATATGTAAATGTACATATGTAAATATATATAAAATATTATATATTTTATGTGAGTTATTGATACATTACATCATGTTTCAACCCATTTTCCTGAATTTATTCATAGGCCTATCATTTTGTAAAGGCCTTCCTATGGATCTGGAATAGACCTGCTGTATCTCCCTTCGGAAGGAACATCATGAAATGACATAAATCAAATGCCTAATATGAGCTTGAAATTTTTTATAAAAGATCTAATTTGCTATTTGCTATAGCCCTATAAGGTATTATTATTCCCATTTATAGATGATGACAGTGAATCTCGGAATAGATAGGTGACCTCCTAAGCCACATGTCTAGTAAATGCTTAAGAGAACCAGAAACAAACTGGGGGGTGTTTCAGGGGGCTAGATTCTCATAATCGGAGCATCTGTCACTGGAGTGACAGCAGATAGTGAGGTCTTATCACATGGGAGATATTTCAGCTGAGTTTTAACATGTGTGTTTATTCTTGGGAAACAGTTTCTTTCTTTTCCTGCCTGATAAACCTCCTCTCAGTCTTCAAAACCCAGCTCAAAGTCACCTCCTCTGAGAAAGCATTCTTTCTGGACCCCTTCATCTTGCATTAGACAGTATTTTGTCCTCACCTTCTTTGCCCTTTTTATCACATTTCATTGCAGGTGTTGATACTTTCAATTCTCCTACTTGACTGTGCACCTTGTTCTATTCCTAATAGTGTTCAGCATATGGTAAGGTCCTGTATTAGTCAGTGTTTTCCAGAGAACCAACCGTGTGTGTGTGTGTGTGTGTGTGTGTGTGTGTGTGTACATATATAATACATATACAAACACACATGCACGCTCAGAGAAAGAGAGAATAGCTCCTGTGATTATGAAGGGTAGTAAGCTCCAAGTCTGTAAGGTAAGTCAGCAAGTGGGAGACCCAGGAAAGAGGATGGTGTAGGTCCAGTCTGAAGATGCAGGAAGGGCCAATATTTCAGTTTGAGTCTTAGGGCATGAAAAAGCTGATGTACCAGTTTTAAGGCAATCAGGCAGGATGAACTGAGGCAAGGTCAGCATTTTTGTTCTTTTCCAGCCTTCAGCTGATAGGATGAGGCCTGCCCACATTAGGGAGGGCCATCTGATTTACTCAGTCTACTGATTTAAGTCCAGTTTCATCCAAAAACACCCTCAAAGGAATACCCAGAATAACGTTTGACCAAATATCTGGGCACCCTGTGGTCTAGTCAAGTTGATATACAAAATTAACTATCACAGGACCTAAATAACAGTAGTTAATAGAATGAATATTAAGGAATCAGTGTCTTATTAGCAGTTTTTCAGAGACACAGACCAATACAATGTGTATAGACAGAGACAGACAGATTTAATTTAAGGAATTGGCTCATGCAAGGGTAGGGCTAGAAACTCTGACACTTGTAGAACAGGCCCAGAGGTTAGGAATCTGTCAGGATTTGATGTTTCAGTCCTGAATACAAAGGCTTTCTAGAGGCAGAATTTCCTCTTCTTGGGAGACTTCAGTCTTTTCTATTAAGCCTTCAATTGACTGAGTAAGGCCCACCCACATTATGGAGTGGGCCTCATTCAATCAGTTCATACAATTTATACATTATGGAGTGTAATCAGTGGACTTTGGGTGAGCAGATTACCCTTCAATTTATACATTATGGAGGATAACCTGCTTTACTTAAAGTCTACTGGTTTAAGTGATAATAATATCTAAAAAATATCCAAAACAATATCTAGACTGGTGTTTGAGCAGACAACTGGGACCATAGCTCAGCCAACTTGACACATAAAATTAACCGTCATAATCAGTAAAAGATATTGACCTAATTTGGTAATATGCAGATTCTGGAGTTTCACAAACCAGCAAAACTTTAAATAATGTAAACTGCAGAGCTATCTAATGTAGCTTGATACATATAAGCATAAAACCACTTATAGGATTCAATTAAAAATGCAGTTTTAATGCCAAAAAAGTGAAAAGACTTAATATCAGAATAAAAGATATTTGAAATTTATGAATTTCAGAAACATACAACAGTGCTTATTTTAAACCAGTGCCAGTTTGTGAACTGCATGTCAGTACATTTCTGTCCCAGATTCTGTGATTCTCTGAACAAGGACTAATTCTAAGTAGGCAAAAAATATATTTCCCCTATTATCCTTTTCTCTGTTCTTGTTATACTCTTTCCTCCCCGGTAATGCTTTTTTTTTTTTTTCTCTTCTCCCCACTCTTTCTACCATGGCTTGTGGCTTCTACAATTTTTTCACTGAAGCCATACCCCTTGCAAGGCTTTTGTTGGCAAATAACAATAAAACCAACTCAAGTGGGCTTGTCCTATAATAAACGGCATGCCATGAAATCTAGAAGGAAGGTGAATTTCAAGATTAACTTGATCAAGTAACTGGCTTAAGATTTTCTTTGAGGGTCCCTCGGAGCATGTTAGCTTCCTCTTTAGGCTGCTAACAGGAGAGCTGAAGTCATCCTTAGCCTTGCATTCACATAGGACAACACCAGGAGGAATTAAGAAGGCGTTACTCCCGGGAGTTCTTAACAATATAAAGAAAACCTCTCCGGAAGCAGCCAGAAAAATCTCTAACTCATGTCATGGGCCTGAATTGGGTCTCATGCTTGTTCCTGTCACTAATTAGAGAAGCGGAATTCCTCTTAAATCAATCATGCTGACTTTTGGAACTGAGGGAGTATTTTCAACTTTACTTGGGACATATGGGATCTTCCAAAAATGAAGGGATGCTAAAAGCAAATCAAGACTTTGTTTGGAAAAAAAGGAGGAGGAGGTAGTTCCTGCATCAGTAGCCAGTAGTGTCTATGAGGGTCTAGTAATTATCCAGCATTCACAAATGCACCACTCTCCATGCCCTCTCATTCAAACACGCTCACACTTATTTAAGCATTCACAAATGCACCACTCTCCATGCCCTCTCATTCAAACACGCTCACACTTATAAAAAAATGCACTAAACTCTTTCCAAGAAGATGACATAGTCATATCTAGCTATCACACCTAGTTCCAAGTCTAGGACGTTTCCATGATATGCCTTCTTCTTCATCACGTCCAAACGCCTGGAGACCCCTGATTAACAATAAATTATGTATCTCTGAAACATTCCAAATGAATTGTGAGGGAAGAAAAGAATAGCTGTAAAAACAAACCCGAACTTTCTATTTGGAAAATAGAAGCATGAGAAGTAGCCCACTGAGGCCACGGATCCATTTGTCATTTACAACTGGCTGATTCTGGCAAGAACTTCCTGCCATGTCAGCGGTCTGTGCTGTTGATTTAACCTGGTTAGAGAGCTCTCGGTGAGCTTCCAGGTATAATTTCCCCTTCCCATGGCTTCTTTGGCCTCTCCTTGATGGCAATGAAAGGTATCCCTTTGGGAAACTTTCCCCGCTGACATGGTTCTGTAAGCCTAACAGTTGTCTTGGAGTGGCACCATTGCTTCCTCTTCATAACCGCTTCTGGTTTCCATGGCAGTGATCTCCCTTAAACACCTGGGAGCCTTCCATTTACAAGGCTTTCAGTCAATTCCATGGCTTAGTACAAGAACCAAAGACAACATCTCATCCAGTTTTCGAAGGTGAAGATTTCTGTCTATTAGCAACAGTTCTGTGCACTGCCCATTGCTTGAGCTCTCAATGTGATATTTGCTAATTTCACCCGGGCCTCTGTCTGTAGCCATTTGAACACTCTAGCTTCAAGGGGAAAAGTATGTTCTTTGCACCGAGACTGTATCTCAGGTGCACCATCACAATGAGCATGAGCTTCAGCTTTTTTTAATTATTTTTTTTATTTTAATGGAGAACACAGTTCTTTAAACTGGCAGAGAATAGGAGCAGGAACTGGGGTGAGAAGGAAAGGTGACAGAAGCATCTCTGTTTATATTTTCACCTTGTGATGGTTATTATTTTTTAAATGTTTTCATACTTCTAAAAGCCAGATTTAAAATTCTGAATTGTCATCCACAGCCAAAGATGGAAAATCAAGAGTTATTTTCCCCCTAAGTTTACCTCTTTACACAGGTTCTTATTGGTGATTGCAAGAAGTAGTCAACATACTTTAAAATTCAGATTTTTTTTTCCACCCAAGTCCCTTAATACTAAAGCTTCCATTACCATTACAGACTATAGTTTGGCCAACTGTATTGTGTTGGCATAAGAAAGATTTCCAAAGTCCGTTTCCGAGAAAGAGATTCCTTACTTCCCCTACTTCTTTCACTTAGAATCCACCCCATGTTAGATTCCGTTACCTGCAGCTACTCATTTCCAGGTATCAAACTGTGTAAGTAGCAAGCAGCGGAAAAAGAATATGGATACTTGTTTTGCCAAATACCTAGTGAGAGCAGTGCTCTAGAAAATACATTTTGGGGCCGAGCATGGTGGCTCAGGCCTGTAATCCCAGCATCTCGGAAGGCCAAGGAAGGCTGATCACCTGAGGTTGGCAGTTTGAGACCAGTCTGGCCAAAACGGTGAAACCTCATCTCTACTAAAAATACAAAAATTAGCCAGGCATGGTGGCGTGCACCTGTAATCCCAGCTACTCAGGAGGCTGAGACAGGAGAATTGCTTAAACCTGGGAGGCGGAGGTTGCTGTGAGCTGAGATCACGCCACTGCACTCAAGCCCGGGAGACAGAGTGAGACTCCATCTCAAAATAAAATAAAATAAAATACATTTTAGGAACACCACTTATGCAAAAAGAAGCAAATCACATAGGGATTTCCTTAGAAGTGATATGAGGTGATAGCCCAGAACACCACATATTTTTAATGAAAGCATCTATGCATCCATATAATTAACACCAAGATTTCCTTTTAAAATGACTGAAGTAGGTTGGGTATTAAAATAAGGAAAATAATATAAGGAATATAATAATAAGGAAATAAATTTTCTGTCACAAATATCTATAGCTCATCGGTACAGAGATTAAAAATTTGGACAGGATAAACACTAGATGTTTGGGCCAGGCACGGTGGCTCAAGCTGGTAATCCCAGTGCTTTGGGAGGCAGAGGTGGGCAGTTCACAAGGTCAGGAGTTCAAGACCAGCCTGGCCAACATGGTGAAACCGCGTCTCTACTAAATATACAACAAAATTAGCCAGGCGTGGTGGCAGGCGCCTGTAATCCCAGCTACTCGGGAGGCTGAGGCAGGTGAATCGCTTGAACCCGGGAGGCTCTCAGCAGTGAGCTGAGATCACGTCACCGTACTCCAGAACGGACAACAGAGCGAGACTCTGTCTCAAAACAACAACAACAACAACAAACACTAGATGTTCGAAGCATTGTTAAAATGTTTATCGTAAAGGGCTGCCTTCCATTTGTCAACATAAATATCTCCTTTGTTAAGATTTGTTTTCAAATGTCAGAACCTAAATTTACCCAGTTATTCTAAAACCAATCTTTTGACATATTTTCTCTTTTGATTGTTTTAAAGATATTATAATAGCCAATTTATAGATTTAACTTTAAAAATCCTGTATGTATATTAGCACCTTTCTGCAATGATTTAATGGCTACTTGGACACTTTAACTTTCATTAATAAAATTAGGTGTGTTTTATTTAAAATATGCCATGAATAACTTTTTCTTGTGTTTATTTCCTCAATTCTTGTAGGTCTTCCAGTGTGGCATGGCTATGACGCTTGTAGCTTACTCAATGTCCCTAAATATCCCCCAAAATATGGGAACCTGAGAGTGTTCTTCGTAGAATTCATGAATCTCCCCTGGAATTTTATTCCACAGATTCAGTTTTGAGACTTTTTATCCTTTTGATTTGATTGCTCCTGGAGCCCTACCCTGAGCTCTGAGTGAATGTATTTATCTTAGTTTGTCTAGAAAGGCACTCTGGAATCTGCAGTGGGAACTTGATGATAGATGGATCATTGAAACTGGCTTTTAAAAGTGACATTTTGGTTAAAAGTCATCTCAAAAAAGAAAAACAGCTTTTAGAAAGTGTATATTCAATAAAATTCCAGAAGCCGGCCCTGGTGGGCTGTCCCTGAATCTGGCTCTGGCAGTGGGTTTGAAATTCTCCAGCCTAGTTGAGAGCACAGTGTCTTCCCAGAGCACAGAGGCCAGGCTCTGCTCAGGAATCCCACCCCCAAGACAGAGGAAAGCACTCCCAAGGCCACGCGCAAGGTTTGCATCTGAATTATAGACCGTTCTTGTGAAGACTCTCTCTGCCGACCCATAATCTTTCCTCCTGAGATGCGAAAAAAGGCTCCACACGGCATCACAAGGATAAACGCACCACAGATACATCAGTTGATTAATTTCAATAAACTTAAGCCTGAAAAGAAGTAGTCGTACTACAGAAGAGAGCTGTTTTTCAGAGTAAAGGCCCTTAAGAACGTGGTGTTACCCTGGTAGCACAGATCTGGATAGGTGAAACATTCGCAAAACTTCCTTTGAAAATATACATATTTAGTTTCAATAATGCATATTAAAACATTATTATATTAAACATTGTGGAATTACCTCAAATGTAATTAATAGACGTTTACGGATTTGGAATGAGCAAGTCATCTGGTAAAATATCTCCTTGATATAGACTCCTGGAGAGACCTAGATGCGTGAGAAGCTATGCCCAGATGTCTGTAAATCAGAATATATGTATAATCCATTAAGCAGATGGGGGAGGGAGATCACAACTTACAGACAGGAACCAAAAAAATGATAGAATAGAATTGATGAAAGGAGAGAATTTAAAGAGATGACAAAGAAGGTGAAATGCAGACAGAAAGGAGAGGAATAAAAATAAAGAGAATAAAAATCAAAGGATAAAGTAAGTTTTCATTAGACTGTGCGCGTCTGAATAGCATCCACTTGTTCCTACTGCTTTGAGAAGTTAATTATCTGACTAAACACTGCTCGCAGATCCTGAAAGGCTCTCTATTCCTCTAACCTTTAAAGACTTTTATGACTAGAATAACCAGAGCAGCTCATAGAAAGAAAATTGTTTTCTGTGCTGTAACATCAATGGCCAGAAATGTGTACACCTGGGGACCAGGTTGGAGGCTGGACCTGGCTTGCAGGTCAGAAGTTCAACACCTCTATCCTCACTCTGCCTTACGAAGGGCTCCTCACGGTAGGTGTGAAGGCAACAATTAGGAACGCACAACCTCAAGGACCACATGTATTGAAAAGAGCCCAAAAGCTGACTCCCTATCTCAAAAAGAGGTATGGCTTTTCTCCAGTGCGTGCATTTGTTTTTAATGTTTAACAAGCTGACAGGAGCGATTAGTCAAAGACTAACGGCCGACTTACTGGTTACTCCAACACAAACAAATCGTCACCAGACTGTCAGGGCCTCGACAGTGTCCATTCTTCTAAAAACGCTTAATGCATTTCTCGCATCTGCAATGACACATGTAAAGCGGGTGACCCTTTCAGATCCCCCACACCCCTCACTCCGAAGGAAAAAAACCACAATTATTTGCTGTGTTTTATGAAAAGGTGGAAGGGAAGATTTTCCTCAAAGGTGGGATGTGGGAAACAAATGAACAAACAAACTCAGGGTGAGTTGAGAATGCCTCATAACCAGGTCACCATCTGCTTTTGTTCCTTAATCAGATAATTGATCTCCCCTGAACCATTTATGCTCCCAGCTAAATTGTCTACAGAGATGCCCATGCCGTCAAGCACGAGGCACTTAGGAGAAGTAAATCTGATTGCAGTCCAAGTTAGGAAACATTCTGGAACACATCACTGGATCAAACTGCAGTCCCTCCTGGGAGGAACACACTTTTCAGAGTGTTGAGTGAAATATAAGGGGAGTTCAAGTCTTCAGTTATTCACCGCAGACCTTCCTTTCAAATCTGGGTGGGTCTTCTTGCAGGATTTGATGCTGAGACAAAAGGGAAAATCAGGCCATTGTGGTTTTTCTATTCATGAGAGTCTAAAGGGACATGTGTACCTTGTCATTTCTGACCAGAATGTGAGAGCTGGCCTGGTTCTGTTCTCACAGGCTCCTGCCTTCCTGTGTCCTAGGCACCCCCACCCCCGGACTCCAACCAGAGTCACCAAGCCCCTCTGCGTGGGATACAGCGTTCTGCCTCTGCAGCTGTCACTGTATGCTCAGATTGTCACACAGTTCAGGACAGATTAAAGGGAGTCACTTTTGACTGGCATATTAGGAGAGGCAGTCGTCATTAGCATACTAAACTAGGTAGCCCTAAACCTGCTGGGTCCCCAGTGAGCCTCCAACACTAGTTCTCCCTCTTCTAATTAATGAATGGTATTAGCAATTAAGAGAGCCTCACATGACAGAACCGCTGTACCCTTCCAAGGCAATTTTGTCTTTGCTCAACAGTAACACAGAATAAACATGAAGTTGAAATAAAGTCAGCCACACAAGAATCTAATGCCCTCCAAATCACCACAATTTTTCATTTCTGCGATCCTGAGAATTCAGCCCACCAAAGGGGCCAAAGAGCCTATTGTTTTCAAGGATTGATTAATAATTCTGCACTTTTGACTCAGCTGAATGCTTTCTTTGCATTTGTCCAGGTATCTGGAGAAGATAAGAATTAGACGACAGCTTAAAAGGTATTAAATAAACATATACACAAATATATCCCGCCATATCTACCTTCCGTGTCCTTCAGATTGGCAGATGTCATGCTGATCTAGGCCACAGATGACGTGGTTTACATTTTAAAACATGTCCTGCAGTCATTTTGTTCTGTTAAATTATTTCATTAAATTAGGGCCTGTGACTCCAATGAAGGAGAGAAAAAATGTAAAATGTTAACCAGGCTAGCAGCCAGGTGGGCGTGCTTTGTCTTCAATTTGTCATTCAATTAGGGGTCAGGAGATAAAATTTCCTCTCTCACAGTTAAGGTCAAACACCTCCCCCTTGTGGTCCCATGTAACTGGTTCAATTCTGTTACAACCTGTATTCAGGTGTCCACCTGGTTTTACAGGTAGATCACTTGACAGAGAGTTTAATAACATCTATGTCATTATCACCAATCACCTCATCTTCAAGTCAAAACAAACCACAGCAAACACAGGAGTTTGATACCAGTGAAAATTAATTAAGAATGGAAAGAAAATCAGAACTTTAGGTATATACAAACGATCCCAATTCATGATGGTTTGATTTACAATTTTTCAACTTTATGCTGTGTGACAGTGATATGCATTCAGTAGAAACCACAGTTTGAATTTTGAATGTTGGTCTGCTTTCTGGGATAGGAGACTTCATGGACATACTGGGCAGTGGCAGGGAGCCATAGCTCCCCATCTGCCTGCCAGCAAGAGGCTATACCGCCAATACTCTACAGTGGGCTCTGTTGCCAGCATCTTCTGGATATTGTGTTTTGTGATTTTGCACCCCATAATGTCTACACAATGCCCATCTTTGTACAGTATTCAGCCCTTTGTTATAAGATAAGCTTTGTGTCAAATGATTTTGCCCAACTATAGGCTATGTGAGTGTTCTGAACATGATTGAGGTGGCTGAGGCTAAGCTGTGATGTTTGACTCACTATATTCTCAATTTATGATGGGGTTATCTGGATGTAAGTCTATTGTAAGTCAAAGAGCAACTGTAGTTAACATCTCCTGCAAAGGTAAGTGTTCTCATATGAAATACATTAATATAACGCACCATTGGAATGATGAAAAATACATAAAGAGTGCCTACAAATCAATAATAAAAATATTCACAAACTAATAGAAAAGGGAGCAAAACAAATGAACATGCAATAAATGAAGAAGAAATATTATGGCCAATTCACACATTAAAAAGCTTAACATCATTGGTAATCAAATAAAAACAAATTAAATCAATTGATTTTTTTTCATCTAACCGATGAAAAAAGTTTATAAAGCACTACAATAATATGAAAAACAAGCATTCTCATATAATTTTGATAAAAGCATAAGCTGGAAAAATATTTATTGACTGCTGTCATTATCCATCAAATATTTAAATTCCATTTTATCTAATAATTAGACATCGAGAAAGTTGTCTTTAAGGACATTGTTAAAAATGTGAAGTTTTAAGCATAAAGATATCTATTGCAACATTTGGTATCATAGTAAAGCGCAATTATAAATGTCCATTAATGCAAAAATGGCAAAATAAATTATGGTAATACTCTACCTTGGACAAATGCAGTCATGCAGCCACTAAAAATGAGGTATTCGTATTGTATGTGCTGATCAAAAAATGCATATTCATGTTATTAGGTGAAAAAGCACATTTTAGGGAAAAAATTGTGTTTTATATGCATGTTCCTATTAATGCTATGAAATGTTTGCACATATGTTTATACATATGTGTATGTAAATGTATAAAATAGGATAAAAACCTGCATGAAATGGGAGGGTCAAGGAAGGTCAGGGGGACTTTTAAGCTTTACCCAACATACGTGTGCACTGATGCAACTATGGTAGAATGCTTTAAATATTACTTGTGTAATAAAAACAAAAAGGGAAAAAAAGGGAAACAAAATCAGCTTTGTTAATGAGATGTGTAGACATGTACTCTGCTCTATAAGGCCTTATCACCTGGAAGTCACGGTAAGAATTTTAATCGGAAGAAAAGAATGCATCGAAGAGCAGACTTACTTAATGTTTTCTTTCCTTCTTCTCCGTTTTCATCTTTGTCTTCTGTCTTTTATTATCCTCTCTTTCCACAATATGTAAGTGATCACAATGTGTCCAAGAGTAGACGTGCATTAAAGACTAATTAAGCAAGCTGCTTGCCTCTATGGTGCTTACTGGCAATTTTGAAAAAAAAATTAATTACAATTAGAAAAATATCAAATATTCTATTTAAAAAAACAAACATGGAGTCTGCCTAAATGCCCATCAATGATGCACTGGATAAAGAAAATGTGGTACATATACACCACGGAATACTATGCAGCCATTAAAAAAAATGAGATCATGTCCTTGCAGGGACATGGATAGAGCTAGAGGCCATCATTCTCAGCAAATTAACGTAAAGCAGAAACAGAACATCAAATGCCGCACGTTCTCACTTTATAAGTGAGAGCTAAATGATGAGAACACATGGACTCATAGAAGGGAACAACACACACTGGGGCCTGGCTTGAAGGGTGGAGGGTGGGAGGAGGGAGAGGATCAGGAAAAATAACTAAAGGGTACTAGGCTTGACACCTGGTTGATGAAGTAATCTGTACAACAAACCCCCATGACACAAGTTTACCTATGTAGCAAACTTGCACTTGTAACCCTGAACTTAAAGCAAAAGTTAAAAAAAGAGAAACCAATGATGTTTCGGTAATGGAAACTGCCTTGGAGAACACGATGGAGGTCACAGCTCTTAGGACATGATGACCAGTAAATGCATTCCTGAGAAGATAGTGTATCCGTTTTGAGGCTGTTACAACAAATTACCTCAACCTTGATGGCTTAAACAGAAAAAAATTTATTCTTTCACAGTTCTGAAGGCAGAAGTCCAAAATCAAGGCGTCAGCAGATCTCTCTGGAGACGCTAGAGGACCATCCAGCCATGGCCTCTCTCGGCTCCGCAGGCTGCCAGCATTCCTTCTAGATGCCCCCTCTGCACCTCTACCGCCATCTTTATGTGACCTCCTCCAGTGCGTCTTCTCTCTCTTATAAAGAGACTTCCCTTGGTTTTAGAGCCCAACTGGATCATGGAACATGATCTCATCTTGAGATCCTTAACTCGTTTATATCTGCAAAAACACTTTTTTTCAAGTAAGGTCCCATACACATGTTCTCAGGTCTAGGACATAGACATATCTTTCAGGGGGCATAGTCTAACCCACTGCAGAGGGCATTTAAATTAAGAACTAAACAGAATGTAGAAGACATCTGTTGTGAAGGGCATGTGTGTGCACATGCGCATGTGCTGGGGTGGCATTCAGGCAGATGGAGATGCTTCCGTACACTTCTCTGTTGAGCAGAGAAGGGACGAGGTGACAGACCAGGAAGGAGGCTGTTGCTCCCCCCAGATAAAAGATGGTGATCATGAACTGGGGATGGAGTCAAGAGAATCATGAGCAGAGGCATTTGAGACATAGTTCTGGCAGCCCACCTTTCTAATGCTTAAAGATGGAAAGGAAGAAAGAGGATAAAACCAAAACTGATACCCAAGTTCCTCACTTGAGCTGTGACCTGCAGAATACAGGCAAACACAGCACTGGTGGGAAGTACAGTGAGGGGAATCAAAGCTCACTTTGGCTACAAAAATATAGGCTAGGCTTAGCAACCCAGCAAATTAGGGAAGCAGTGTAATTGCAACCAACACGAAAGATGAATACAGTCTAATTACTTAAAGACAAATTTAAAATAAAAATCTCAAGCAATTAGTGAATGAAAGACCTTAACAGACAATTCACAAAAGCAAAAATACAATTGGCAGATTGTATGTGCAAACACATTCAATGTCATTCCTAATAAAAGAATGATACGCAAAAAATATTTAATAGTCTCTTTCTACATTAGAAAGCATTTTTATAATAACACACACACAATGATGATTGGGATGGGATAGAAAAAAAGTGAACACCTTGTTCTACATTAACTCTGGCATTTGGCACAAACTTTCTGAAGGCATTTGACCCAATGATTCTGCATTTCCAAATCTACTTTCGGTCAAATACTCAGAAAAGTAATCAAGAATTTCTGAACAAAGATATTCTCCTCAACATCATGAAGACTCAGAAAGACCTTCATAGCAATATCAGAGACAGTTAAATAAATTATGAAGTGCTGTACAATGGAATATTATGCAGCATTAAAATACACTATAAAAGGAATTTTAGATGACATGGGAACATTTCATAAGTTTTAGCAAAACAAAGTATAATGTAAAATTTTAGGTATAAACCATGCCCAGTATTTAAGAAGTACATTTGCAAAATACAGGCAAAAAGCATGCCAATATGGTAACAATGGTGACTTCATTGTATTTGTTTTTCTGTAATTTATTAATTTTCTTCAATGAAAAATTACAGCAAAAAGTGGGAGGAATGGTCTCTCCCTCCTTTAACGATTTGTTGTGGGTATTTTTTTACAACAACTAAAAATGATATAAAGGTGAACCCCCCACCAGAGTTAGTCTTCTGTTTTTTTTTTTTGTTTTTTCCCCTCTCAGGTTTCTTTGTATTAAATACAATTAATAGGGCCAGGCCTCCAACCCTTCATAAGGCCTGGAACTTCAGTCTTCCTTCACCACCCCTTCTTCCTTCTGCCTTCCCTGCAAACAACTCATCCACTTCAAGCTCTAAAGAGGAAAATAAACTTAATTGATAAAACAACAAACCCTGAAAATCAAAAACTATTGCCAGTGATCCTGTCTTCACAATGTTTTATTCACAACTATTTAACTGGATTTTAAGACTGTACTCAATCATAGAAAACCTTTAATTTACTTTGCCTATAGACAAAATTGAAGAATGGGTATGCCAACTCCATTGTTGGGAAGGAATTATCAAGGAAAATGAAATATGTGCACTGTCCCAGTGTTGTCTCTTCCTGAATTTGGATAGACCAAGATTCTGAGCAAGATTATTCTCTAATGAATGCTTCCTGAGTGGTGTAGGTAGAATTACAGTTCCTTCCTTGTAAACTTTTGTTTGCCATGGAACTTAACTCTCATCTTTCAACTGGCTTGCTTTCTATCTCTCACTAACTCTTTTCCAAATCCCTCTATGAAATATAAAACATTTCTCGATGCACTCAAATGATTTTGATGCTCCCTTTTATTCCTCCTACTCTCATCTGAACTTGGCTCCTACTCAGATCCTCTTACAGGAGTGGTCTGGGATTTCCCTTCACCATTATCCCAGATCTCATCTTCACCTTGACATCACATGGATCACCAAAGTCTTTGGAACTCATGTTATCCTTTCTCAGTATACTTGCTTAGCTTATGTGGTAGTAGTAATTGTTCATACCTTGAATGACTAAAATGTCTTTATTCTGTCCTCATATTTGATTGATTATTTCTCTGAGTGTCAAATATAAATGGAAATACATTTTTCTGGGAATTGTCAAGGCATGATTCCTTTCTTTTCTAGCTGCTAGTGTTGCTGTTGGAAAGTCTAGCGACATTCTTTATCCAAAGGCTCTTTAAGTTACATCTTGTTTTTCTCTCAGGTAGCCTTTAGAATCACAGACACCGTCTCTAGTGTCTGGTATGTCATGATATTATAACTCTGTACAACCTTTTTCCTTTCATTGTGCTAGACATTGGGTGAGACCTTTCAATTTCAAAACTTACACCCTTGTTTCTGAGAGATGGTCTTAAAGTATTGCGCTGAAGATCTTCTCTTCTTTTTCTTTGATTTGTCTGTGAACCCTAGTATTTGGATGGTACATCTTATAGGCTGAGGCTTTAATTTTATTAACTTTTATATTCTCTAACTCTTGGTCTTTTGTTCAATTTTCTGGGAAATTTCCTAAAATTTGTCTTCCATTTCTCCTACTGAATTACTACATTTTTATTTCAAAGAGTTGTTCTTGATTCCTCTCTTAATGTCTCTGGTTTATGGAAATGAAGAGAAGCAGTCAGCTTGGGAGTGTTAACACCACTTCTCTCTTACTCAGAAGTTCTTTTACTGTTGATCTAGGAGTACCTCAGACCTGACTAATCTTCAAGGACTTATCTCCCACCATTTCTTGCATGAAACAAGGCAGAGTTTGAGGACTGGCAGATTACACAAATCCCCTTTCTAAAGTGTCTGCCTGCGGATTTACACATTCTGCTAAATCCTGCCCCAAAAGTCAGAATGAGTGGCAGACAGAACGGAGCTCACCTTGTGTTGTTGGACCTCAAGTTTGGACTGGAAGAGACACTTATCACAGATTGATCTAATTTCTTTAATGAGAGTCATGCCAAATATGTTAGCTAAATATATCTTATTTAAACTCCTTTGGCAAAGGGGACTAGATCAAGTGTGGGTTGTGGAATAAGGAATTAGATGCAAGGAATTAGTTCTAGATTGTATTAGCAAAGATTGGGATAAAAGGACATTTAATAGTAGAAAAAAAATCCTCCCCCCAAAAATGCTGTCCCTTAGCATCAGAGAGCAGCCAGTAGATTGATGGTTAGCCCAGGAAAAGAATGTTCAAATGTGCCCTCTCTTCCCTGAATTCCAAATCAATGCTCCTCAGACACTGTAGTTCTAGGCAGATAAGCAGACCTGGGTGGCCACAGAAAATAAATGAAACTTGACTCCTCAAGCCACTTAGCTTTACTCTTCAGATTGTTTGGCCTTTCCTTTTCTATCTTCTTCTTGATTTGGATCATTGTCAGGATCATTGTCATTCTGTATACTGTAGATGATGATGATGATAATTTGAGCACATACAATATACCAAGCACTCTGAGGTAAAGTATTTATAAAATTTCAGTTAATTCAGAAAATAACCTATTTGCAGTAGATAATATTACATCTGTTTTATAAGCTATAACCTGAAGTTCTAAGAGCTTAAATGATTTATTCATAGTCACTCATTACCTTATTTATTTTTATACTCTAAATTCTCTTTGTTTCCACTTCCAAATCCTCAGCTCTGTCTATAATTGAAAGATAACAAAACAGAAGATAAATGGGAAACAATGCATCCAGAATAGCTAAGAAATTAAAAAATAGATTTTTAAAAAATTACAATTTTCTATTTCTACACTTCAGAATCCATTTCACTGAGTCTGAACCTCATTTCATGTGCCTCTTGCTGGAGTAAAAAGCAGAGAATTGGCATTGTAGATTAGTCAAGATGATAGCTCCCTATAGACATGAAAGCCTCCTTTATTGGGAGAAATAAAAGGAAAACGACCCAAAATCACAACCCTAGAATTATAACCTTATTCAAAAGCTATAAAGCACTACCAGCTATCTGTTAAATTCATGCATACTTAAAAATTCAATAATGACCGTGTAGGGAATACTAACTTCAAAAAATCATCAGACTTGTGTATAATGAATAATTTTTCCTTTGAAAGGGAAAACTACATGGCACATTTTGCAGTAGATTAGAGATGTGTTTCTACCAAGATTTTCCAGAATATTCCTGATTTACAACAGCTTATTCTATTGCCAGAGCATAACACAAATTTTAGATAAAATATATACATATATGGTTACTATTAACTTTAAAAATTGAAGATCTTTTTATCTTAGAACACAAAACATCCCAATCAAGAGAAAGGGGTACATTATTACCTTCATTTTGGTGTAAAAGAGACAGGCAGAAGGAAGTTAAATTGCTCATTTAGGACGTTTGCAGGAGCAATAGAAAGTAGAAAGCCTTTCTACTGGCCTCTCAGTGTTTTATCCACCAGAGTACACCCTGCACACAAATAGAACATTGCTATAATGAAGTGAGATACTGATTTGGGGATGTGGAATTTAAAATATTGCCTTATCCTCACATTGAGCATAGAAATGATCAAAACCATACTTGTGAAAGCATCTTTGCCTCTGTTCTTCCATTTACTTCTTAGCCTCCAGGGTAACATAATCAGACACCAGAGTTAAAAGAATGAAGAAGACGTGGATAGAGGTCATCACTGAGCAAGTTTATAAAGCCCCTAAAACATGAGGCTACTTAAAGTCTGTTATTTTCATGTAACAAAATAATTTGATTGTAAAAGTGTAAATCATAGGATTGAAATTTGATATAAAATCAGATTGTTTTTATTCCTGTGTTAAAATATTAATAAGAGAGAAATTAATCCACATAAACCTAGAGCAGAAAAAGGTCAGAACACTCCTGGCTTTAACGGGGAAGAAACAGAGACCTGAAAACGTGCTCCTTAAGGTCACGGTACCACCCATTAGAGGAGAAGGGGAACTCATAAACAAAGGAAGGGCAGTGTGTTTTCTTTTTATTCTGGTTACCCTAGCCAACCCAAACCAGAATGAGGAGTGGATATATTCAGTACTCAAATGCAAACAAGAATCTACAAGTTAAAAATGCCTGAACTTATTATTTGAAAATGTTAATAGCTGATAAATGATGTCGTTATCTTTCATGTTGCATTTTGGAAAAATGAGCATTAGAGGGCAGGTAGTTAATCCTGCCTGTTTAAATATCTTGAACATATCTTTCTCTTTCTTATCATATAATTATTTGTTTTAAAGACTTATTTTTTTTTAAATTTCAAAGCCGCACACCTGCAAAATCTATGCTTAGAAACTTACCTTCAACAAGGGCCTGAAAAGGCTGTTGTGTTGGGGATGCACAAAACTAAAATTATTATACATTGTAGACAGGCATAAGAATATGAACGGCGCTCCATGGCACAGCATACGGTACTTCAAATCAGGACTGCATGAGGAAAATCCAGACCTACCATGGACAACATAAATTCCAAGTCTCTTCAATCTTTGTATTCCTTACCTGTACTGAAATTCAAAACAGAGGCTGTTCCTATGCCTCTGTCTCAGAGCTAAGTATGCCATGTCAGAATTACTGGTAATTGGAACCACAGGCTTTCTGAGCACAAGACAGAAGGATATAGAAACATGCAAATCGCCTCTGTAATTCTTCAGCTCCAATTTCATCCCTGCCAGAGAAAATGTATGGTTGCACCAGCACTGTTTTTCCTAGAGGTTGTGTGATTAAATATTCAATGGTATTTGCCCAAGCCTGCTGCCATTTTCCTCCATAACAAAAACGTATAGGCTGTCTTCTTTACTTTCCTCCCTTCCTTTCTTATTTTTCTCCCTTTCTTTCTTTCTTTCTTTTTCTTTCTTTCTTTTCTTTCTTCTTTCTCTCTTTCTTTTTCTTCTCTCTCTCCTTTTTTTCTCTCTCTCTTTCTTTCTTTTCCCTCCCTTCCTTCCTTCTTTCCTTTCTTCTTCCTTTCCTTTCCTTTTTTTTTCCTTTCTTCCCTTTTTCTTTTTAAGCAGATGATGCTTTATATTCAAGCAAGGGTCTGAAACTCTAGGATTCCATACCAGGGAGCACAGGACCCACACGGCTCCGGCACAAAATCATAAACAGTATTCTATCTGAGAGACAGACAGAAAGAGTAGCCAATGAAGACTTTGGGGGTCACAGAAACACACCATCTAACGAGGCTGTCTCTAAAGCACAGCACACTAAGCCAACTCAGACTGCTTCAGGCCGATTTCGGGTAAAGGTCCAAGTTCTTCCCTCCCACTGCCCCACAGGCAGCTGCTGAAACAAACAGTCCTACATCTCTGGGCTCCTTGAATGAGGCGATTGTATTTCAGCCCATTGTTTTGTGTGGACACTTATTAACCCGGCTGAATTTACAGCAGGGGATTGCACTCAATATCTATTGATTAGCAGTCAGTAGTGCAGTAATCCTCCTGCTCTGATCAATGCAGGCAGCAGAGCAGGCCTCCCAACCCGCCAGTGCCCTTTTCCCGGCCATTGATATGCGTGTCGGGATGTGAGAGACGCTGCAGGGAAGGTGAGCTGCCCTGTTAAGTGTTCCCAGTTATTGGAAATTCCTGGTAAGGGGTCGCTGCTTTCTTGATAACCCTCTGCCGATTCTGAGCAAGGTTCAGCAACTTTTAACAAATAACAGCATTGTAGGAGACAAAAGTGAAATACTCTGGCCGTCGTTCCTGAATTACAAATCATAATAACCCTCTGGCCAGGTAGAAATTGACACAGCCCACTTCTCAGTTGTTAAATCTTTCCAGTATCTGTGACAAAATGAAACATTCCACAAATGTGGTTTCATTGCTGAACTAGATTCCATACATTGCTATTTTTATTATTAAAGGGGTTGCCTTTGGTTTGTGTTGTGCAAGCATTTTTCATTAATAAAACATAAGTGATATGTAATGATTTCCTGTACTTTTTTTATATTGATCTATTTTTTCTTTTACTAGTCCCTAAAACAATTAAGTTTATTGATATATTTAAGAAACCAATCTGGGAACTCTTGATATTTTAAAAAATATATTAAACAAAAGTCTTCCAAATAAAGTCAGTCTTTGTAAAATTGTGGAGCTAAAATATATTAAAATAAAACAAAATATAGCAGTGGAATATCTCTGTGTAACTGTTGAAGATCCATTATTGATGCAGTCTGGTTTCTTGGAGGTAAGATTAGCATTTCCACACATTTACAAAGTCCACCAATCACTTTCCTATATAAAAGGGTCCATCTCCTCTCCATACATAGGTGCACTTAGACTGGAAGATTTAGAAGGAGAAAATGCGTGATCTTGACTCTTGTAATTGGGATCCTACGGCGCTCTCTTCAGAGGGTCCGCAGCTGCACCTGCCGCAGAGGAGAATGGTCTGAGTCATTGCCTCCCCCACTGCACTCGGAAGCTTCTCCCTCCCTCACCCCACCATGGTGCACACACTCCCTTTTATGATGGGTGAGCTTCTGAAATCACACGTTCCATACATTTCTTTCAAAATCTTGGCTACATAAAATGCATTTAACTGAGTACCGATATACACCCTAACCCCACACACATACACACAAACTATACACACATCTACCACACTTACGGGCACATACACACACCACATACACACACATACAGAATTCCTTGCCAGAGAAAGAATGTCATTAAAACATTTTTAACACATAAAGGGAAATTATTAAAACACATTAAAATAATATAAGCTTTGTTTCCATATATTTGGCACATAGATGTAAAATTTTAGTGTGTGTGTACATATTCTTTTAATGGTATAATCAGATATAGTTATAATTAAAATGGAAGCTCAGCTCACAGAGGCACTGTGTGTACTTTCTACAAGGGTGTAGGAGTCTTGGGTCTTTTCAGTAAATTAGGAGAGTATATGCACTCCAAAATTAAAATGGAACTCAAAAAGGCGGATTTGTTTATTTCTATTTAAAAGTACACGTTCTGTGGCTGGCAAGATGGCTGAATAGGAACAGCTCCAGTCTGCAGCTCCCAGCGAGATCAACACAGAAAACTGGTGACTTCTGCGTTTCCAGTCGAGGTAACTGGCTCATCTCATTGGGACTGGTTAGACAGTGGGTGCAGCCCACAGAGGGCAAGCCAAAACAGGGTGGGGTGTCACCTCACCCCAGAAGCACAAGGGGTCGGGGAACTCTCTCCCCTAGCCAAGGGAAGTCCTGAGGGACTGTGCCATAAGGAATAGTGCATTCTGGCCCAGATACTACACTTTTCCCGTGGTCTTCACAACCCACAGATCAGACCAGGAGGTTCCCTCGGGTGCCTACGCCACCAGGGCCCTGGGTTTCAAGCACAAAACTGGGCAGCTGTTTGGGCAGACACCAAGCTAGCTGCAGAAGTTTTTTTTCATACCCCAGTGGTGCCTGGAACGCTGGTGAGACAGAACCGTTCACTCCCCTGGAAAGGGGGCTGAAGCCAGGGAGCCAAGTGGTCTAGCTCAGCAGATCCCACCCCCACGGAGCCCAGCAAGCTAAGATCCACTGGCTTGAAATTCTTGCTGCCAGCACAGCAGTCTGAAGACAACTTGGGATGCTCGAGCTTGGTTGGGGGAGAAGTGTCCACCATTACCCATTACCAAGGCTTGAGTATGCGGTTTTCCCCTCACAGTGTAAACAAAGCCACTGGGAAGTTCAAACTGGGCGTACCCCACCACAGCTTGGCAAAGCTGCTGTAGCCAGTCTTCGTCTTTAGATTCCTCCTCTCTGGGCAGGACGGACATCTCTGAAAGAAAGCCAGCAGCCCCAGTCAGGGGCTTACAGATAAAACGCCCATCTCCCTGGGACAGAACACCTTGGGGAAGGGGCGGCTGTGGGTGCAGCTTCAGCAGACTTAAACATTCCTTCCTGCCAGCTCTGAAGAGAGCAGTGGATCTCCCAGCACAGCAGTCAAGCTCTGCTAAGGGCAGACTGCCTCCTTAAGTGGGTCCCTGACCCCCGTGCCTCCTGACTGGGAGACACCTTCCAGCAGGGGTCAACAGACACCTCATACAGGAGAGCTCTGGCTGGCATCTGGCGGGTGCCCCTGAGACGAAGCTTCCAGAGGAAGGAACAGGCAGCAATATTTGCTGTTCTGCAGCCTCTGCTGGTGATACCCAGGCAAACAGAGTCTGGAGTGGACTTCCACCAAACTCCAGCAGACCTGCAGCAGAGGGGCTTGACTATTCGAAGGAAAACTAACAAACAGAAAGGAATAGCATCAACATCAACAAAATAAATCAACAAGGAAAAGACAAATAACATTATTAAAAAATGGGCAAATGGCATGAACAGCAACTTCTCAAAAGATGACATTTAAGTGGCCAGTAAACATATAAAAAATATTCATCATCATGAATCATCAGAGCAAAGCAAATCAAAACCACAATGAGACAGCATCTTACATCGGTCAGATGGCTATTCTTAAAAAGTCAAAAAACAACAGGTGCTGGCAAAGCTGTGGAGAAAAGAGAATGCTTATACACTGTTGGTGGGAATGTAAATTAGTTCAGCCACTGTGAAAAGCAGTTTGGAGATTTCCCAAATAACTTAAAACAGAGCTACCATCCGACCCAGCAATACCACTACTGGGTATTATACCCAAAGGAAAATAGATCATTATATCAAAAAGACAAATGCATTCATATTCAGCACCTCATTATTCACAATAGCAAAGACCTGGACTTAACTTAGGTGCACATTAATGGTGGATTAGGTAAAGAAAATATAGTACATATATACTACGAAATACTAAACAGCCATACATAAGAATGAAATCTTATCCTTTGCAGCAACATGGAGCTGGAGGCCAACCCTAAGTGAATTAATGCAGGAATAGAAAACCAAATACCACTCTGTTCTCACTTATAAGTGGTAGCTAAACATTGAGCACACATGGATGTAAACATGGGAACAACAGACACTGCAGACTATTAGAGGGTGGAGCAAGGGAGCAGGGCATGCATGGAAAGTAACAATCCACACATGTTCCCATTGTATCTAAAATAAAATATGAATTAAAAAAACAAGTTACAAAATGTGCTAATTTAAATTTTACATGTGTTATAAAACTCAACAATAAGCAGAGCAATTATTTAGAACTTAGACCAATCAAATAGTATTTTTCAGAAAGGTGTATGTTATCCCTGATGTTGTTTAGAATTGCCAGCATATGTTGATAGTGAAAAGAAGACTGACGTTTTATTCCTGATTTAAGTATTCTGTAAACAAGGCTGGTATTGCCCTAATGCCTGCTGTCACTGCCCAGAGTTGGCATGCTACTCCAACCAAGAGAGGATGAATCACAAAATAGTATTATTGAATGCTGAGCAGACTTGCTGTCCCCTTAAAGTGACTGCCATCATTTCATGTGGGGCCTGGGAGTCAGGAGAAAAGAGCAGCTTTCATGGATATGTCCCTAAGGGCCACTAGAGCCTGTGATACCATCTCCTTCCCAACATGCCTTCCTATCCTGTTTGGCTGGTCTGTCTGGGATGCACTCATCCAAGGAGACACAAACAGTTATCCATGCATATAGGGACCCTGTAGATGGAGTCCAAGGTGTCACAAAGAACTGCCACCATTCAATTCTGTGGGACCTCCTAAAGTCCTGGAATGGCCCACATTAATCTCATTGTTAGGAGCTTTAAGAAAACTCTTCAAAGGACTTGATATGGTTTGGCTGTGTCCCCACCCAAATCTCATCTTGAGTTGTAGTTCCCAAAATCCCCATGTGTCGTAGGAGGGACCAGGTAGAGATACTTGAATCATGGGGGCAGTTTTCCCCATCCTGTTCTCACGATAGTGAGTAAGTTCGCACAAGATCTGATGGTTTCATAAAGGGCTTCCCCCTTCGTTCTGCTATCATACTTCTCCTTCCTGCCACCATATGAAGAAGGATGTGTTTCCGTCCCCTTCTGCCATGATTGTAAGTTTCCTGACACCTTTCCAGTCCTGCGGAACTGTGAGTCAATTAAACCTCTTTCCTTTATAAATTACCCAGTCTCAGGCACTTCTTTGTAGTAACGTGACAATGGACTAATACAGGGCTTCATTTTGTGCCATATACCTAGGGATGCTCCAGAAATGTGCAGTGATGATGATGATGATATTATGCCATTGCTGGCAAACATCACAATTTGAACTCATTTGAACACTGCATGGAGGAGCAATTACATACTGATTGCAATGTTGCTAGGCACTGTTCTAAGTGTTTTATCTATTTTAACATTTTATATTTCCAATAACCCTATGAAATAAACATTATTTATATCCCCATTTTCAGATGAGAAAACTGAACTCCTTATTTTTGCACAAATAACTTGTGCAAAATCATGCAGCAAATAAATAACAGAGCCAGAACTCAAACCAAGGAGGTAGCCTCCAAAGTCCAAACTCTTAGCCAGCCTGTTCTGCCATCCCCCTAAAGTACTCTGTGGTTATGGTCAGATATTGCCTTCATGTATCACATGGAGAAAGCCATGATGTACCTCATCTTCATGAAACAGAAATTGTGTTTTCTGTTAAATGACTTAAGTTTGTTGGTTTGCTTATTTATTATTTATTTATTTTTAGTGCCTGGTATAAAAGCCTCTTTAGCTAAGTAAAGTGTCTTCCTCCAATGAGATTTTCATCTATAGGAAGGAAATGACACCTACTATGTGAACCTACTATGTGTCAGATTCTGAGTCAGGAGATTTGCCTATGTCATTGTATTTAATTATCACAGTTCTGTAAGACAGATATTTTGAATGCCTCCCTGTTTTTTTCATTAGGAAAACCAAAATGCAAAAAAGTAAGTCATTTGTACAAGGTTTCTGTAGCAGGTAAAAAATAGAAATGAAAATTATATTCAAGTTTTTCTGGGCAAAAAGTTTAGATTGCTGTTACACCAACTCACAGCTCTGAGTGTGACGGTACAGACTGTAACCGACACTGCTCATGTGCATCCATTATCTCCAAAACCTGGACACTGAAGCACAGCCTCCTTGACAAAGAAGCAGCATCAGACTATTCTTTCAAAGACTTCACTACGGATTAGACCACGCTGGAAGGGCCCATCCCACGGGCAGCCTAGCTGCAGGCCAGCAGGGGACCCATGCAGTGTCCAACATGAAGGCCACTGCCCGCTAGGTCTTACAATAATTAGTAAAGGCAAATACATAAAAACTTCCTGCAATATTGCTACCAGTGGCAAAGATCTGAATTAGCTGTAGTTACAGGCAGCAAATCCATATGAGCCTGCAGCAACTTCCATTCTTGCCTCCTAAGAAGAAATAATTTGAGGGGCATAAAGCAGAAAAAGAAACCTAGGCAAGTTTCAGAGCAGGAGTGGAAGTTTATTTAAGAGGCTTTAGAATAGGAAGGAAAAGGAAGTTCACTTGGAAGAGACCCAACTAGGCACCGAGGTCCAAAAGAAAAAAAAAAGAAGAACCTTTAACCTTGATCCTGGGACTTTATAGGCTCGCCTATTTCCCATGATTCCTCCCTTAGGGTGGTCTTTCCACATGCGCCGTGCTCTCCTTACCCTTGAGAAATGAGCATGCGCAGCGTGTTTAGGGAGTTGTATGCATGCCTATCTGAGGCTTTCTTCTTGTTTTCCCGTGGAGTATATCCACAAGATCATACTTCGCCATTTTTGTCTCTTAATGTGCATGGCCAGGGAGTGGCTTCTCCCTGGGCCTGCCTTTAATTAACACGTAATGTTAACAGGTGTGGACCATCAGAAAATGGCCTCTCCCCGGCTCTGGCTGCCAATTTATCACATTTAGAGAGTCAGTGCATTAATTGCCGAACCATCACCTGACATATCTAATGGGAAAAGGGAGAGTCATCTCCTGCCCCTCTCATGCCCATCTACCTGTAACAATATCTACTGGAGAACAGAGAAGGAATTCGCCGACTCACGGCAAAATGCCAAGGATGCACCCAAGTTGTTCAGAAAAGATGACATGAGAAGGTAAAATCCAGAGACAGCAGGAAAGCCCTAAGCGGACTAAAATCTGGAAGGTTTCCCAGCCCCTAATCCCACACACAGGTAATTCCCTCTCTTGTTTTATATACTTACCGTGATTTCTTTTATTAAGAAAATAGAAGTTTACGGCAAATTGCCATTTTTGTGTATTTTTCACAAATTGTTGACTTAATAATAGTTGTTAGTTTTTAAATCATAATACATGTTTCAAAACAATGTTTTTTCTTAGTCATAGAATGAGCTCTCAAAGGTACCATAGTCTTAAGTCTATGTGTTAAAGTTAAAATTAAATAGCACTGTGTTTGAAACCTGAAAACTCTCAATTCAGGTAGCATCTTTCTCATTCCCATCTGTGCAGAGAACTTCAATAAAATTAATATATTTTCAGAACTTCAGTTTCTCATCTAAAGAGATATTATATATATACATATACATATATGTAGTCTATCTAACACATAGAACTGAAAAATGTGAAAATACATGTGAAAGTTCTTTATAAATGCTAAAGTGTATCAAATCAAAATTTGTTTAATCATCTGTAAAAACCCAGTTATAGTCATACAGAAAAAGATTGGCCAAATGATACAGCCCAAGGAATAAGGGAAGGTTTCCCTGATGAAGTGGACTTTGAAGTAAAATATGAAGGATAAGTCTCAGAGCAAAAAAGGTGAGAAAAAAATTCTAGGCACATGGGAAAGTCCTGGGTAGGAGATGTGTTATGCTGATGTCAACTGCAACTGGCTTACGAGAGCCTATAGTTAAATTTTAAGGAATTTTGCATGCCCTGTTGTTAAACGCAGCCTTTTTTTTTTTTTTTTTAAGACAGTGTCTCACTCTGTCACCCAGGCTGGAGTGCAATGGCATGACCTTGGCTCACTGCAACCTCTACTTCCCGGGTTTAAGCAATTCTTGTGCCTCAGCCTCCCAAGTAGCTGGGATTAAAGGCCCACACCACCACGCCCAGCTATTTTTTTGTGTTTTTTTTTTTTTTAATGGAGATGGGGTTTCGCCATGTTGCCCAAGCTGGTCTCGAATTCCTGGGCTCAGGCAATCCTCCTGCCTCGGCCTTGCAAAGTGCTGAGATTACAGGCATGAACCACCATGCTCGGCCTGAAACACAGCCATTGTTAAAACTAATTAAACACATTTGTAATGCATTTATTATAATAACACCTTTCATTACAGTTAAATTAATTATGTTAAAATAAAGGCAATAAATAATCAAGACTCACTTCCCACTTCTTTTACCATTATCTATGCTTTTAGATTAGGTATGCCTATTGTATTTGTATGGTGGAAATACTATACAATGTGCTTCTTACTATGTTTCTCTTCTTAATTCAGCATTCAGTGGTGTCACATTGGCAGTCTGAAATAAGTCATGGTGGGAATATTCGCATCATGAAAATAGGCAAATATTACAAAGCAGGGCTTGATTTATAGTTCTGTTGATTGTCTAAATTAAAGCAAATGATTAAAAAATCTTAATAATGCTGACCATACTTAAAAGTGTGTATGTCTATAGCTGTTACATTGTGAGTAATACAAAAAAATGGAGCAAGTAGTCTTCAGTAATTGAGAACTCTTATCTGGTTCAGCAAGTAGGTCACTGATATCCTTGACAGATTAGTGAAGTTCCAGTACACATCTTTGTTATTTTACTTTTGTCTTATTTGTTTGCTAAATAAAAATACCATCAACATTACATTGGAACTTTATTTATTTGTCAATGCTGTGAGAAACTCCTTTGCAGAATCAGATAGTAATCAGATGTTTATTTATTCATGGTCTAATTTTGTCAAATCTCACTTTCATTACAACAGTAAGCTGGTGATAAGACTGGTTATGAATACATATGTTTGGCAAAAATCAATGAAATCATCCTGGGAGAATTAATTGGCAAAATGGGATTTACAAAAAGGTATTACATAGTTTATTATTTGAAAATTATAAATTTTAAAACAAATTTATACACACATATGTATAATATACTTTTTGTTCCTAGAGACTTAATCATTAAACACTTGCCAGAGGCTGGGTGCGGTGGCTCACTCCTGTAATCCCAGCACTTTGGGAGGCTGAGGCGGGCGGATCACGAGGTCAGGAGATCGAGACCATCCTGGCTAACACGGTGAAACCCCGTCTCTACTAAAAATACAAAAATTAGCTGGGCGTGGTGGCGGGTGCCTGTAGTCCCAGCTACTCAGGAGGCTGAGGCAGGAGAATGGCATGAACCCAGGAGGCAGAGCTTGCAGTGAGTCAAGTTCTCACCACTGCACTCCAGTCTGGGCGAAGGCAAGACTCCGTCTAAAAAAAAACCACACACACACACAAAAAAACACTTACCAGAGTACCACTGGGTGGGAGAAGTCACAGTGTGATAGAACAAAAAATAGATTAAAATTGTGAAATAAATAGAGAGAGAGAAAGGCAAAGAATAAGGAGCATGAAAATGGTGGGAACCAGATCCTACATAGAAGGTTTACCCTGAGAACTTTGGAAAGGCAGTTAAAAGTTTTTAAGCAATAATATCAAATGATCTAACTTTTGTCTTAAAAATATGTCTGGAAAAATTAAAGAAAGATTGGAAGAGATCAAGAGAGTATAAATTAAAAGATCAGTCTTGGGGTATTTCAGTATTTCAAATGATAGATTATGATAGCAAGAACTAGAATGTGGCTGAAAGATATAATCTGTATAGCCAGGGTATGTAATGCTCAGATGCTGTAACAAATAATTCCAAAATATTTATTGGACTATTAAAATAAGGACTTACTGCTCACTCACATCAGTGCAATTAAAGGTTAGTCGGGCAGTTTCCATATGATGATTCAAGGATGAAATGCCTTTCATTTATGGCTCCACTGACCCATAATCTGAACTGAAAAACAGGGTGAAGAGAGAATAGAGGATAAAACAATGTGGCTGGAAGTGGCTAACATTCCATTGCCCCAAATTAATCATATAGTTATACAGGGACTTTTAATGCATCTTTCCTTTATGTTCAGAAGGAAATGTTAAATGGTTTCTTTGTTCAATTTCACTTTGGAAAATTCTTATTTTCTGACTTTCCAGAAACAACCGAACACTTGTTGATTGAATGCATAGACATTCCTCATTAATCATTTAACTTCCTCATTTTAGCAAACTCTAGAGAACTGGAAAAACTGGTCCTGGGAAAAGTTTATAGTAAGTAGAAAAAAGCTTAGGTTTCAGTTTAATTTGATTTGGGGTCTGCTGTTCTATCTCTCTGTGACCTGGAACAAATCTTTTTGTTTGTTTCTGGGCCTCAGTTTTGAAACTTTATCAAAAGGGGGAAATAATAACTTTTCAACTTTGGGAAGAGCTAATGAAACCAAAGAAATACAGGTAGGGTACATCTTGTAAGGTGTTAGCATTCATATGGGAACCTAAAATTTCAAGAGAGCCTCTTAATTGGAATCCTAAATATACTGATGGGAAGATTGCATGCATTTCTAATAATATAAAGATACCATGATTTTTTTTTAAATTGGGAAGTCTGCTTCCTGCTCTGCTGAAGCAGCAAGAAAAGAATCCGTTGCTTAGCTTGCCTGGTGGAAAACGCAGCAAGACTGGGCCTGCTTAGCAGTGTGCATGTTCCACCAGCTGTGCGGTTTTGGGGTGCAGTAGTTAGTTGCATGATGCGTATTACTAAGAGGATTTTTGCAATTTTACTGAAATCAGAATATACATTAATACATGTTTCCTAGAAAGTGCTTGTACATTCTTGAGTGATGGATAGACTAAGACTCAATTTAAGTAAACAGACAAAAAAATGAGGGCTTTATTTTTAAATTTCTCCTAAGCCACATAAAATTTAGTTGGCAACTGGTCTTTATCCATTGAAAAAAAACAACAGCAGAAAATGAGCATTGGTTTAAAATAATCAGCAATAAATATATCAATAGAGATATACTATTGTGTGCTTATTATACATGTTTTATAAAATGAATAGCAACCTTTTGAATTTTCATGATTTCTCCCTACAAAAAGCAATAGATGCTCTTCCTTTTCTCCCCCATATGTCTTCTGTGAATCCACCTTTCCAATCTACCTACACTGTTTCCATTACTTCTCTATGGCCATGTCTCTGGCCTTGCCCAGTTCTCAACTGTTCTATACAAAGGTGTTTCTAATATTACCACTCCCTTTTTCCATAGCCTTCACTTGTACTCAGTCTCCTACAGGATACTAAGTGGTATCTGCTGTGGTTTGAACGTTTGTGGTCCGCCAAAATTCACATATTTAAATCCTACCCCTAAAGTGATGGTTTTAAGAGGTGGGAGCTTTGAGAGGTGAGGAGGTCATGAGGATGGAGCCTTCATGTATGGGATTAATGCCCTTATAAAAGCTCAAGGGAGCTGCCTTGCCCCTTTCACCTTGTAAGGACACAGGGAGAAGCACCATCTATAAACCAGAAAGCAGGCCTTCGAGAGACACTGAATCTGCCTTGAACTTCACAGCCTCCAGAAATGTGAAGAATAAATTTCTGTTGCTTTCAAGCCTCTCAGTCTGTGGTGTTTTGTTATAGCAGCCCAATGGACTGAGACAGCATAAGAGGTTCCTCTTCTCAGTTGCAGACCCTTCTGGCTGTGTCCTCATTTAGTAGAAGAAGGACAAAAAACCTCTCTGGAGTCTGTCTCATAAGGGGCACTAATTCCATTCATGAGGGTTGCAGCCCTCATGACCTCATAATCTCCCAGAAGTCTCACCTCCAAATACTGTCACATTGGGAGTTGGGAGTTCAACATATGAATTTTCGAGGAACACAAACATTCTGACCACAGCAGCATCCAAAGTCTTTAAAGAATAGATCTCACAGATCTCTCTAGCCTGACTTCCTATCCTTTCCCTTTCATTCTTTATGGATCAAATATATGTAGCAATTAGTGGTTTATTTAATAAGCCAGACATGATCATGATTTTGGGCCACTATATATATCTTTCTGCCACCTGGAAATGTTTATTTATCTACTTGATTAGTAACAAACTTCTATTCTCCTTTCAAGCCTCAGCTCAAGTTTCTTAAGACCTCATGAATTTTTCCGGGCTGAAAGATAATACTAACACTACTAATAATAACAATAATAATAATATTCTAAAAGTCCCTTTTTAACTACAGTGCTCATATAAACCTTCATTAGAACAACCACAGTATTGTATCTGATGCTATTGAACTGCTAAGCACCTAAAGAGCCAGGACCTTGTCTTTTTATCCCACAGCTCCATGCTTGGCACACAGAAGGTACTTCATGAATGTTCATAGCAGGAAGAAAGATCCCAAAGACTGAAGGATTCATCTTTGGTATATGGGCCACCCACCTGATAAGCACCTCTGGGTGGCTCCCTAGATCTGAAATTCACCTGTAACCCAGGTGTCTCTTGTCCTGCCATCTTCAGTTGCATACATTAGAGACATCAGTTTGTTTTCATGCTGTACCAACCTAAGTATAGAACTTAGCTTCTTCAATTTTTCTTAAAAAAAAATCAACATATTAAATTTAACCAGCAATGTGGACTTTTTAGAAGATACTATAGGGGTGATAGCAGGAGAGTTATAGATTGAAAAATCTTTCCCCCCCAAAAAAAAAGCCTAAAATTTCCCTTTTCTATTTCTCTAAGCCTCTTCTACTTCTGCAGCAGAGTTATGGAGTGTCTTGCTTCTCCCAGTTGCACATGCTCCAAGGAATCCTACAGTGTCCTCTCCCCTCGATGAGACATGATCTGAAGGTAGTCAGTTGTCCTGATTTGCATGAGACTTAGATTTTCCAAGATGTGGAAATTTTGGTGCTAAAACCAGGAAAGTCCAAGGCAAACTGCAGTAGCTAGTCACCCAAAACAGTTCTCTGAGAGGCAGATGTTAAAACAGAAATAGGTAAGTGAGAATTTTATTAGGCGAAACACCTGTGCAAAAAATAAATAAAATAAAATAAATTGGAGGGGGACCTGGAAGAAGCTGGGAGAGTCACAGACCGTGATGCAACTCTGACCTGGAGAGAAAGAAAGAAAAAGGGGGGGTTGGATGGGAGCAGCCTGGTCTACTGAGGATTTTAGGAAAATTCTGCAAGGCTGTGGGAGGCCTCTTGCCAATGTCAGCCAAAGCAGGGCTTGTGTCTCTCATGATTCTCCAAGTCTAGAGCCCTGCCTTGGAGCATTTTTCCTGAGCTCAGTCATTGCCTGAGAGTAGTCATGGCAAGTGTGGCCTCCACATAAATGCAGGGATAGATTTACAGTTGGACCCTTGATCCATGAAGCTCCCTAGGATTGGAGAATCCCTGGAATTCTCACTACTGCCACACTCTTCCACATGCAAAGCATTTGAATTTGTCCCAAATCTCATCCAGCACAAAGCTCCACTACTCTCCTGCCCTGCCTCTAGTTGAAAGAATCTATCATTCACAGAATTGGGTTGAGAAACACATTTTGAAATATGGACATGCTCCTTGGGGTCCAATCACCCAAGAATATTAGTGGATGAATATTTACTCTTTTGATTACATCATTAGTAGGCATTAATTTGAGATCTCACCCAATTTCTCAATTTCTTTCTCTTTTTTTTTTTTTTTTTTTTTTTGAGACTGAATCTCACTCTGTTGTCCAGGCTGGCGTACAGTGGCATCATCTTGGCTCACTGCAACCTCTACCTCCCGGGTTCAAACTATTCTCCTGCCTTAGCCTCCCAAGTAGCTGGGATTACAGGGACCCACCACCATGCCTGGCTAATTTCTGTATTTTTACTTGAGTCAAGGTTTCACCATGTTGGCCAGGCTGGTCTTGAACTCCTGACCTCAGGTGATCTGCCCTCCTCGGCCTCCCAAAGTGCTGGGGTTACAGGTGTAAGACACTGCACCCCACCCCAGTTTCTGAAAATAAAGTCCTTAGAAATGCATAACACTAAACAGTACTGAAGGTCACTGAAGGTCTAGTGACTTGAAATTATTTATTTGTTTTGACTAGGAGATCTACACTCCTGAGAGTCTCAACTTTCTGAAGAAAGGGTTGTCTTGAAGTCAAAGTCTTGCCATTTGCAGAGGGCCCATACTCCTTATCCAGACATGATGCAGGGAGGCACCAAAGAACTTGAGCTAACCTTCAGATGGTCTCTGCAAGGTTTTCTTTATCTTCCTTTTTTCTTCCTTTACTTCTCCTTTTTATTCTCCTTCTCTTTCCCTTCCTTCCTCCCTCTCTTCCTCCTGCTTCTTCCTTCCATTATTCCTTCTTCCCTCTCTCCCTCATTCTTTCCTTTCTTCCTTCCTTTTTCCTTTCCTTTCAAAACATTTATTTCATACTATAGACATCGACCTTCTTATCCTTATAACAACTAGCAACGCTACCAGGTGGTAATTGTTATTCCCATTTCTAGGGAGAAAAACCAATTCTCAAAAAGGGAAATGTAGATAATAGTAATCCAAAATGTGTTCCCTGAGGGAAGAAAGTCTCTCCTTCACAGCTGCAAATTTAACACTGAATAGAATGGGAAATTCTGAGTTCAGAATTGCCTATAAAAAGATTTTGTAAAGAAGAAAGAAAGGAAAAAAAGGAAAGAGGCATTGCAGGTTTTATACCACAAATTATTGCTGTTTCAACTACAATCTGCCTCCTAGTTTCTGACTTACCATTAAATGAAGCAAGACAATAATTGGAAAACTCATGCAAAATCTTGCCTAGAGCTGTCTTAGGCCCATCCTCTGAGCTCTCTGTGTTCTAAGAGTTAAGCTCAAGGATAAGAGATAACCTCTAGGCATTATAATAACTAGATTTTAACCCTAAACCTAAGTTCAAGAGCACACTGTCCACTGTGAATGGAAAAAACAAAGTTGGAGGGAGAGGCTCTTTTACAATAAACTCCTCAGCAGAGATTGCCTCAGAGTTTTTCCCAGATTTCAAAATAGCCACATTAGTGATTTTACAAAAGCATATCACATGTGATCAAAGATTTAAAACTGCTTTTTCTCACTAGCACAAAGACAAGAGACCATAACTGGACAATATAAATTAGTGAAGTATATGAAAATCTGTTACCACCATGGTAAGGATTTACTTATTTTAAAAGTGAATTAATTTCCAAGTTTTTTTGTTCGTTTGTTTTCACCCTACAATGGTTACTTTTATGTATCAACTTGGCTGGGTTATTGTGCCCAGTTGTTTGGCCAAACACTAGTCCTGATGTTGCTGGGAAAGTATTTTTGAGATGTGGTGAACAATTAAATCAGTAGAAACTAAGTAAAGCAGATTACCGTCTGCTATGGTCTGAACATGTTCTCCAAAATGCATGTGTTGTCAGCTTAATCTTTAATGCAATGGTGCTGAGACATAAGGACTAATGGAAAGTGCTTAGGTCATGAAGACTGCCCTCAGGAACAAATTAATAATGCTACAAAAAGTGCTGGTGGGAGTGGGTTCAATCTCTTTTGCTTTTCTGCCATGTGAGAACAGAATCTGTCCCTTTCTTGCCTTTCGACCTTCTGCCTTGTGAGGATGCAACAAGAAAGTCATCATCAGATGTTGGTGACTTGATCTTGGACTTTACAACTTTCAGGACTGTAAGAAATAAATTCATGTTCTTTATAAATTACCAAGTCTGTGGTATTTTATTAAAGCAGCATAAAACAGACCAGGACAGAAATTGGTACCATGAGTGGGATGTTACTATAACAAATACCTAAAAATGTGAAAGCAGCTTTGAAACTAGGCAATGAGTAAAGACTGAAGCAGTTTGGTAGTGAAGACTGGAAAAAAGCCTCAATTTCTGTGAACAAAGTGTTTGTAGAAATATGGACAGTGAAGGCCATTCTGATGAGGTCTTAGACAGAGATGAGTAGTGAGGCGTTGGAAAATAGAGGTAATGTCATCCTTGTTACAAAGTAGCAAAGAACTTTGATGAATTGTGGTCATATCCTAGGACTCTACCGAAGCCAGAACTTAAGAGTGATGAACTGGGATATTTTGCAGAAGAAATCTCTAAACAGCAAAGCATTCAGTGTGCTGCTGTGGGGCCTCTCTTAACTATTTACAGTAAAATGTGAAAAGACAGAAACAATTTAAAAGCATATTTTTTATTGAAAATGGAAGCAGAATGTTAAGATTTGGAAAATTCTCAGCTTGACTATTGAAAGAAATTTTAAAAAGCTTATTTAGGAGAGCAAACCAAAGATGTTGTCAAGAGACCATTTGATGAGGATATGAGTATCAACAGAAGAAAGCCAGAGTCTATTCATCAAGGCAATGGAAGAATGACTCTGAAGGCATTTCAGAGATTTTGAAGGCTGCCCCTATAATCACAGGCCCAGAGCGCTAAGGTTTTGAAGGCAGAGCAATTTAAAAGAAGGAGCCCAGGATGCCTGTGGTCACCTTGGGTCTTTACTCCCTGCATTCTGGTACAGCACTCCTCTACCCCAGCTCTGGCTCAAGCAGGCCAAATTTTGGCTCAGGCCACCACTTCAAAAGGCACTAGCAGTGAGCATTGATAGCATCCATGTGGTGCTAATTCTGCAAAGTGCAAGAGCTGTAGAGGCATGCCTGCTTTCACACAGAATTTAAATAAGGCGCAGAGAGCCCTTCTAGGACAATGTAAGGTAGAACTGTGGGGTCAGGGCTGCTATAGAGCATTCCCACTAAGACAATGCATAGTGGAACCCTGGGAGAGGTGGTGCCCCGAAGATTCCAGAATTATAGAGACACCAGCATTCAGGACGAGCCTAGGAAAGCCACAGGAGTATGATTTCAGTGAGTGAGAGCTGAAGTGTGTGCTTTCCCCAGCAAAGCTGTGGCGGAGTGACTACCCAAGGCTTTGGAGGCCCAATCCACACCCCATTTGTCTGGAAAGCAAGACATGGAGTTCAAAGAAAATTATTCTTCAGTCTTGAGATTCAATGTTGTCTGTCCTGCTAGGTTTGAGACTTGCTTAGGACCTTGTATTAGTTCATTTTTACACTGCTATAAAGAACTATCTGAGACTGGGTAATTCATAAAGAAAACAGGTTTAATTGGCTCCCAGTTCTGCATGGCTGGGAGGCCTCAGGAAACTTACAATCATGGCAGAAGGTGAAGGGGAGGCAGGCACCTTTTTCACAAGACAGAAGAGAGACAGAGCAAATAGGAAGTCCCACACTTTTAAATCATCAGATCTCATGAGAACTCACTCACTATCATAAGAACGAGGTGTGGAAAACCACCCCCATAATTCAGTCACCTCCCACCAGGTACCTCCCTTAACACATGGAGATTACAATTCGAGATTAGATTTGGGTGGGGACACTGAGCCAGATTATATCAGACCTGTTACTCCTTCCTTTTTTCTTATTGTTCCCTTTCCAACCAGAAATGTTTATCCTGGGCCTGTCCCACTAAGGTAATTTGAAAATGCGTAAGTTGTTTGATTTCATAGGCTCATAGCTAAAGAGCGGTTTGCCTCTGGATGAATCACAACTTCAGTCTTGCCCATACTATGTTTAGATGATACTTTGGATTTAGAATTTAAAGTTGATCCTGGAACAAATTAAGACTTTTGAGTCCATTAGGATGAAAGAAATGTATTTTGCATGTGAGAAGGACATGAATGTTTGGGGCCAGGAGCAAAATGCTATGGTCTGAATGTGTCCCCCAAATTCACGTGTTTGAAGCTTACTCCCTAATGCAATAGTGTTGGGAGGTGAGGCATAATGGGAAGTGTTTAGCTGATGAATGGAGTAGTGTCACTGTTGAAAGGGCTTGTAGGAGTGAGGTTGCTCTCTTCTAGTCTTCTTCCACATGAGGACACAGAGTTCCATCCTCTTTCACCCTTTTATATGTGGACACAATAAGATGGCCCACATCAGATGCTGATTCCTTGATCTTGGACTTCAGAGTCTCTAGAACTGTGAAAAATACATTTCTTTTCTTTATAAATTACCCAGTCTGTGATATTATTTACAGTAGTACAAAATGAAGTAAGACATCATCTATGCTGTAGGTGTCCTTCATCCAACCAGTTGAAAGGACTTAAGAGTAAAAATGGATTTCCTAGAGAAGAAGAAATTCTGCATCAAGCCTACATCATTAACTTCTGCCTGACTTTGTAGCCTTCTGGCCTGCCATACACAATTTGGACGTGCCAGCCCCCAAAATCATGCAAACTAATTCCTTCAAATAAATCTGTGGCGTGTGTTGTGGGGGTGGGAGAATACTATAATAGTGATAGCTTACATATATTATTACAAAATGACATTTTTAAACCAAAGATGAATTTAAGTTCTGCCCCAAATTTACTAAAATCAACGTTCAGAGAAATTTAGATCTTAAAGCTGGAAAAACCCTGAGAAGTCACTGGATCCAGCCTCCTCACTCTAACCAAGTTAAATTTATAATCATTTTTTCACCTCTGAGCCCACACCTTTCCAAGTCCTGCAGATCCACAGCTAGTAATGTGGTGCTGAGAGACAAAAGTCTAGAATGGAGCACTGTTGTACTATTGGAAGAGTACAGAATGACACCACCTCTCTGTAAATCACAGGGTTCACTGGTCTCAGTCAGAAAGACTGCTTCCCAGCAATACCTCTGATCAGCAGTACAGGGTTCAGTCCAACCTTCTGAGTCCTATGCACAAAACCCAGTGCTACTGATTATCAACAATAATCAACCTTTTATTTCAGATTCTAGTTATCATAGCATTTGCCATGAAGCCAAACTAAAACATTTCCTTTTTTCTAACGTATTTTAATAGCAGCAAAGGAGATTCATGGGGCAAATTGTCCTGTCCACACAATAGTAATTTTCCATTTCTTTAGCTTTTTTCTTCTTACTTGACAAAACCCTTAGAGACTATCAAACTGTCAAACCTCCGAATGCACAATTACAGCAGTAAATTGCAGTGTAAATTGATTTATTCCTAGGTAGATAGCCACCTTAAAAGATTCTACCTTGTTGCTTTCAAAGTGACCCTCCGATGGAGCCATTGGCTGGGGAAGTTGAGAAAGGAGCCCCAGGAACTGACCTCTAATTTTCCTAATATTGCTCAATGTGTAAAACACCTATGATTTGTTGAGGTTGTTCAGCGTGAGTTATATGCAAATCCTCCATGGCAACTGAGTCCTTAGAACAATCAGGAGTACAACAGAGTTGCTTCAAGAATGACAAAAGTGATTTTCCCCGAAAAAATTCTTGCTTCATGTGGGTGGTATCATTTTTAGCTTTCCATAGAGAACATCGAGAAATCTTGGTAGCCGACTGTCTGAGAGCACGCTGCATCGTCTCCTGACTCCTGTAATTATATTACGAAGTTTCAACATCCCTTGCCATTAAAGAAACATCACACCCTCTCACTGTATCTGCTGGCTTCTTTCCATCAAACATATTACCATCCATGTGTGACAGCCATGCAGTTGATGCTATGGGCGACTGTTGGCAAAATATTTCTAGAGAGCTGTAGTAGAGTGCTTTTGATGACATTCTAACAGGCAGATGTTTTGGTTCACTGTCTTTGGTTTGTCTCACCTCTAAGTCAATTTGTCAATAATTGGCATTTTAAATTCAGATCATTCCTTTCTTCTATTAGCAACTGTAAGTTCTTTAAAGTTTCTTAAACAGTTTTCTGGATATTATTTATATCTTCTTTTCTGAAAATCATTAAATCCAGTGGTTAGTGACGCAAAAAAAGTATGCTGAGAAGACAAAAAGCAAATTGATAGTAAATGAGGCAGCGGTCCAGGCTGAATGAATACCACACCATCCACAACAAAATCCAATGAAGGAGAAGCAGCGACGCCAACCAGCTGTATCTGTCTTATCTTCTGTACAGCCCTGACATACTGAAAAGCAGGTCGGACATAGTGGAAACACCACTAGACTTACAGTCATGAAGTCTGGCTCAGGGTCTTCTGAAATACACAAAGTTAATCTTAATTTTCTCATGTACAAAAAGGAAATAATACCATCTTTACACAGTTGCCACTGAGGACCAGATAAAACTTGTAAAATGTCAAAGCACACTTGAAGCAACCTCCAACATCTGTCATCTGATGTTTCTTTGCTACTTCAGACATTCTTTTTCTGCCTATTCTTTATTCCCAGAACACTACAGGCACACACTTTGTGTGTGTGTGTGCGTGTGTGTGTGTGTGTGTGTGTGTGTACATTTAAGGGATACAAGTGCATACTAAAAGCTCAGACTTCACCACTTCACAATATATCTATGTAGCAAAATATGTATCAAAATAGATATATTGTGAAGTGGTGAAGTCTGAGCTTTTAGTGTATCCATCCCCTGAATAATGTACATTGTACCCATTAAATAATTTCTCGTCAACCACCCCCTCTAGCCTTCCCACCCGTCCGAGTTTGCAATGCCTATGATTACACACTATGTCCATGCATATACCTTGTTTAGCTCCCACTTATAAGTGAGAACATGCAGTATTTGACTTTCTGTTTCTGAGTTGTTTCACTTAAGATAATGGCCTTCAGTTTCATTATAAAAAGAAAAAAAACATGATTTCATCCTTTTTATGGTTGAGGAGTATTCCATTATGTATTTATACCAAATTTTCTTTGTTCAGTCATACCTCGGTGGACACATAGGGTTGATTCCACATCTTTCATATCATGAATAGTGCTGTGATAAACATACTAGTGCAAGTGTCTTTTTGATATAATAATTTATTTTCATTTGGGTAGACAGTAGTGAGATTACAGGATTGAGTGATAGTTCTATTTTCAGTTATTTGAGAAATGTCTGTACTGTTTTCCGTGGAGGTTGTACTAATCTACATTCCCTTGAACAACATATAAACATTCCCTTTTCTTCACATCCTCACCAAAATCTGTTAATTTCTGACTTTTTAATAACAGTTATTCTGATTGGTATAAGATAGTATCTTGTTGTGGTTTTAATTTTCATTTCTCTTATGTTTAGTGATGTTGAGTCACAGAATTTGTGCCACTAACCTTGGCTGAAATGCCTTTTCCCTGATCTGAAGAAACTAAAAGGACATAAGCTCACCTTTCCCCTTTGTATGGATGTCTTTCTGAAGGTTCTGAATTTTTAAGGCAGTTTCTCTAAGAAAAACCTGGAAGTGTGAGAACACCTGAGTGTCCAAGGTTTCCAGTTTATGATGAATATGCTTGGAGAACATTTGAATAGAAAAAAACAAATCCGACAAAATATTGTCATCTATTAAAAAAAAAACTACAAGAATAAACAAAATGGAGAAGCCTAACTCCTTGAGGTTTTATTTATTTATTTATTTATTTATTTATTTATTTATTCATTTTTGAGACTGGGTCTTACTCTTTCTCCCAGGTTGGAGTACAGTAGTGCAATCATAAAGTTTACTGCAACCTTGATCTCCTGGCCTCAAGCGATCCTTCTGCCTCAGCTTTCAAAATAGCTGGAACTACAGGCTTAGCTATTTATTTTTATTTATTGTATTTTTTTAGTAGATATGAGGTCTTGCTATGTTGCTCAGGCTGGTCTTGTACTCTTGAGCTCAAGTGATCCTCCCACATTGGCCTCCCAAAGTGCTCGGATTACTAGCGTGAGTCACCATGCCCAGTTCCTTGAAGTTTTTAATACACCATGGCCTCATTAGATGGAACAGAAGATCTCAATGCTATGAGTCATGATCCTATTATTTCCTGTTTCCTGTTTTCCCTCCCTCCCCTATTTGTTTATTTATTTATTTCCTTCCTTCCTGTCTTCTAATCTACAACTAGTCAATATTAGTTTTCAGACTGTTAAGGCTGCCAGGCAGGTTAAAATTTAATACACGTGTAATTAGTGGTAAAGTAGAAGAGAATCTTCAAGTAAATAGCTCAGCAGCTGAGTTGGCCTATTGTGTTGCAAAATGAGCTGTGAACTTAATGTAAGAAGATCTGACGCTCTACTGAGGACGGCTGATGTTGCACTGAAGAGAATTTCACTCAAAATAGCTTGGGGAAAACAAGTGTCATGGTAAAGATGCTGGGATCACACAAGAACTGAACAAGACCTGCAACACAGCTGGACTGGATGGAAAATGAAGCCAGAGATTTGCTCTGGAATGAAAGCCGAACTTGAGCATAAATTGGAATCCCTCAAGAGTCAGGTAGGTAATGCAATTGTTTGAAGTGTCAAGGTGTCAGATAATAGAAGAGCACGAGGCTGTGATGCACTGGCAAATGCCAGACTTACCCAAAAGCATGAAAATTAAATGCTTCAGACAAACAGAGAGCCGGCCCAACAGTATGAACTCACCTGTTTGAGACTTTTGCTAAAGGAATTACTACCCGGTTTTCTCTACCAGGGCCATCACGATGTCTTCTTTTCTTTGTGATCTTTTCCAGTCTTCTCTATTGAACAATCTGCCTCCGCTGTTGACTCACTGTTTCTGACTCTTCATAACCTTCACTTGCATAGGTTCATATGAGATTCCCTCTGTCTTCTATATGATGACATTTCTCAGCATATTTTTCTTTCCTTTTTCTACTACCAATAATAACTGCATTCTTCTCTCAGTTTCCAAGAGAACATTCTGATTACTCTAGTTAATCAGTAGCCCTAGGGTAGGGTGCTCACCTGTTGGCCTTTTTAACTGTAGTTGAGAAACTCAAGTGAGAATACTTGAGTTTTGTGAAATAGAGCATGTTAACCCAAGAGGCAAACATGGATCAGATTTAGGACCTCTTTGTGTGATGTACAGTTGTATTCTACATACAGTGGGGGGAGGAGGGTGCCACTAAAAATATTACAGTATAAATGGCCTCCCCTGCAGTGTACAGTGCATGGCCTATGCAAGAGCGTGCAGTGAGCCTGGCTACAGTCCCTTCTAAAACTGCAGAAACAAAAATTCACCAGGTTTGGTGGCTTGTGTCTGTAGTTCCAGTTACTGAGGAGGCTGAGGTGGGAGGGTCACTTGAGGCCAGGAAGTTGAGGCTGCAGTTGGCCATGATCATGCCACTCCACTCCAGCCTGGTCAACAGAGAAAGACCCTGCCTTTACCTAACAATAAAAAATAAAATCAACAATAAAATTGTGAGCATAGTGAATATAATGCTCATGTCTAGTGACTATTAGCTAACTCAATTAGAATTTGATTCTAAACCTGTTTGGGAAAAATGTTCACAGTTCTGAATCTTGCTTTCTTCTGCATGAAACTACTTCAAGGGGTGTGTGTTGGGGAGTAGATGTTTGACAATAGCATTCCCAATGTAACTATTCTAATGACACTGTGAAAGGACTGAGTCTCTTTAAACATGGAAATTCCAGAGAAATATTATACAGCTACGCGGACTATACAAAAGGACTCAATGAACAGAAAAGTAGAAGTGCTACAATATTAGTAACTGTAATCGTTAAAATAGGCATTATCATGTAATGCTAATGAATTGTCAACAATGATAAAAACTATATAGGATTTGCCAAAAATTGTGCAAAGTACTTGATTCTTCCACAAAGTACAGGTTACTCTCACAGACAATAATGTAAATAAATGATATTATTAACCCAGAAATGAGGATTCAAATGTAATGTGACTTTGCTGCAATGAGATTTTATTGTAATAGCAAAATTTTTACAGTGAAAGCAAAAGTTTTTATTGTAATAATTATGTGAATATCAATACTTGTTCAGTAAGGATTATTTTATTTTGTGGTACTCAGAGAATAAATAATCTATACTAGTTCCACGGTGCAGATGAACACACATTATTGAATGCCTGCTATGTGCCAAGAATTTTTCTAAGTACTGGGTTCAATATAAGTAGACACAGTCCTTGGACTCTTGAGCCTAAAGTGGATTTTAGTCTATTTGCAAATAAATTTCTCTTTCTTTTGTAGGGCCAATTAATGGACCACCAAATAATTTTGTGGTTGTAAAATACTGTGTAAAATACCATGTGTAAAATACTGTGTTGAACGATCTAGAAATACATAAAGGAGGTATGATATGGTTCCAATGATCAAGAAATTTATATTCAAATTAACAAAATGAAACAAGTACATGAAAAATTAAGAAACAACAGGAGTATTATTTCACAAAATTATAATGTGGCAATAGCTTAATCAAGGTTAATTAATTGCTAGTAAAAGTTTTAGACCACTGGTTTAGAACATGTCATTCCCAGATGAATTGATTTACGTGGCTCTCTCCTGCAACATTTCTACCTGCAAGATAGCTGCAAGATACAATTTTTCAAGTTTCCTTATTACTCCTGTTATTCATTAGATACGTTATTTATACAGGAAATACAACTATGTGACCACTCATTTGTCACATGGGACAAATATATATTTAAAATTCTAATACTGTAGATGGCATTTCACAAATTATTTCAAAAAGTCTGGAATTGTTTTCAATCAAGAGAAAACACACTTCTACATTGATAAAGCCTTTCTAAATTACCAAACAGAAAATAGATCCATGCTAATTTAACATTAGTATTCAAATGAAAGATATAATCAGCACAAGGTTAAATTCTATGTCAATTTATATTCATCATCTTTTAAACCACGTTTTAAAAAGTAAGTTTATTTGATATATATATAGAGAAATTATATACTGTATCATGTCCATGATGACTAAATTTATTGAATTTGGCAGATATAATCAGCAAATTTTATTTGAAATTTTTAACAAAAAATCTAATGTAAAGGATCTGTAGTCCAAACATGATTAATCCTTAAGCTTAATGATAAATTCATGAAATTGTGGATATAATATATCTTAAAATTATGTCAACTGGATTTCAGGTTTTTAAATATGGAATGTGGCATTTCGGATACCTGCAAATCACTAGATCTTACTATCGGACAAACAATACTGAAATGAAGAAAAAGAGAATTATTGTTTATAGCTAGTATTTTTTTAGTACTACTATATGCTAAGCATTATTCCAGGTATTAGGAACATAATAGGAAAAAATATATCCTTTTCTTGGGGAGCATGGATTTGCATAAGGAGAGATAGTTAAATAAATAGATAAATAAATAGAATGTCGGGTTTGCTAAGGGTTATAAACAAAGCAGGAAAAGGGGAATGCAGAGTGAGGTGGTGCAGTTGCTATTTTTTTAGGGTGCTTCTTATCGGCAGTTTTGATGAAACAAAATTTCAGTGGAGACAGAAAGAAATGGATGGAACAAGCCATTGAGGTATCAGGGGGAGCATTTATTGTGCAGTCACAAGGGAGGCAGCATAGTGGGATCCCAGCATAGTGGGATATTTGCAAGCAGAGCTGGAGACTTGGATTAAAGGAATGGGGATGGGGTAGTAAAGGGAGAGGGACAATGGCCTTCAGGGCTTGGAGGCATTTGCTCCAAGTGAGAAGGGGAGTAATGGGTGTGTTTTTGAATATAAAGTGGCCAAAATGTGAGTATTTTCTCTGTGGGACCACATTGTACACGAAGGGAAGAGAGAAAGCTGGGGTTTATTGAGAGGTTATCACAATAGTAAAGCCAGAAAATGATGGCTGAAGGTTTAGTAATAAAGGGAGTGGGAAGGTCTCATAACCCTAATATATTTTGAAAACATGTATATTAACAGGCTTTGCTGGTGATTTGCTCACAGGATACAACAGAGGATTAGGAAAAGTGTAGCCTCAAGTTTTAGGTCCTGAGTATCTGGAAGAGTGGAGTTGCCATTTGCTCGGATGAGGAAGACTCAGGGATGTGAGGCTGGGGGTGGGAGTGGAGAATTCAACCTTTGAACATGTTAACTCTCAGAAATCTGAGAAAAAGCCCAGGACAGGGCTCAAGTAGGCATAATCTGCAATATAAAGGGTGAAATTAAACAGGAGATGGAAATGGGTGCATTTTCAGCAGAATTGATAATATTTAAACTCATGAGACTAGAACTTTAAACGCTATAGGATTTATTTAAATTTTGAATGTACAATACCATATTGTTGTGGTTACTGGAGCCCTAAGTACTAGGCTTAATACCTGGGTGATGAAATAGTCTGTACAACAAATTCCCATGACACAAGTTTACCTACGTAACAAACCTGCACCTGTACCCCTGAACTTAAAATAAAAGTTAAAAACATTTTTGAATTTTTAAAAATAATTCTATATGATAATGCACATTTCTTTATGAGTGGTATTGAGTATGTCAGCTGTAAAGCAGGTATCTGTATATCTGTAACTTGTGAAACCATATTTTATTTCCAATATTTTGTTGTACAAATAACATTGTAATAACCTTAAAAGAAATCAATTTAAAAAGTTCAACACTAAAAAAAATGAAAACAAAAAAGAGTTGCTGTTTATCTGTTTTCTTCTAGTTATCCTTTTACAGATTTTTTCAGAGTTGTAATCATTCTTTTGACAAAATTACTTTTTTTTATTATTACCGTTCACATTTATATCCTAAGAATCTCATTTTGACTTCATGAATCACAAAGGGACATATCACAATGTGATTAATTTTACTTATATACCACATTTTGTATTGCTAAAAAAAAAAAGAGTGCCTTTGATTCATTTTGGGGCCATTCCAGAGGGCAGCATGCAGATATCAGCAGTCTGGCTTTGTGATGGATAATTTTATGTGTCAACTTGACTGGATTATGGGGTGCCTAGATATTTGGCTAAACATTATTTCTGGGTATGTCTGTATGGTATGTTTCCAAATGAGATTAGCATTTGAAGTAGTAGACTCAGTAATATTGATTGCCCTCTGCAATATAGCTGAGCCTCATCCAACCCATGGAGGGCCTAAGTACAGCAAACAGCAAGTGAAGGGAAAATTTGCCTCCTCTTCTGCCTGACTGCTTAAGTGCGGCATCAGTCTTCTGGGCTCTGACTAGGATTTACATTAACAGTGCTGCAAGCTCTCAGGCCTTCAGACTCAGACCAAGACTCCAACTCAGATTCTAGGATTTACACTATCTTTCCTTGGTCTCCAGTTTGAAGACAGCAAATTGTGGGGTTTCCCAAGCTCCATAACTGCATGAACCAATTCCTTGTACTAAATCTCTGGTTTTTTTTTTTCTGGAAAACTCTGACTAATAAAGTTTTGTACTGAGTAGAGACCCAGACATAAAACAAATGTTTACGTATGTAGTATGAGCTTCTTCACCAACAGAAAAACGCTGGGCCAGAGGATGTGACAGTAATCGTCAGCCTTAATTGAGCTGCCAGCTAGCTTGGGGACCAGCAGCTAATCACTGGACCTTCTCATTTTATTTAAGAAAGGAAGGACAGAACTAAATCAATCATTTTAATACTCCTCCAAAAAATATACATGGGGCCATCAGAGTGTAAAAAATGCAAAGAAAAGAAAACAGCTTCTGGGGCAATTTAGCTCCTCCTTCTTGGTGGAATTTAGTTGTAAAATTCTGCATTATTTGAGGAACCAGTGAGGAAACCACCTGCAGAAAGAACAATTTGAAAACCATTAAAGTCTACAATCTCTAGGATTCTGTTTCCTTCTACAATAGTGGATTATGACTTTAGGATTCTGACTACTAAGCACAGTGATTAAAAACATAGATATTTAAACTAAAAAGATCTACATTCAGATCCTTTCTTCAAAAGCCGGCATTGTGCCCCATTACCTCCACACAGAGCCCACGGAAGAGTGAGCACACAGTTGACTGATAACGTAGGCAAGAAGACGTGATAGGGCAAAGCCAGGTCTGTTTCTCTGTGTAAACACCCTCCTTTTCACCCCAAATAGGCAAACATCTCTGAAGTCACAATGGCTCAGCCGACACCAACAGGCTTGGAAGAATTCAATGTTTGTAAACCAGAACCTTCTCACGGATATGTTTCCTCGTTAATCTAACAGTCCTCAAATCTTTCCAACTGCAGGGATGTTTTCTTCAAAAGCAGAGATTTATCAAATCTCTTTAGTACTGAGAACGAAGTAAGGAGAGACTGGAGGATGGGAAAGGAGTCCTTTCCCTCTCTGCTTTTCCCAGGAAACCGTTCCACTGACAGTGAGGCCAACGTTCACTTTCCGTCACCACTCAACTTTGACCAAACTGTCCCACCAATGGTAAGGACTCTGAGGAAAGCTCAATTCTCTCTGATGGGAGCTACAGTGGAGTAGAAATGGCCCATCCCCAGCACTGCTGCTGATACTGATAGAGGAAATTATGCTCAGCACTGTTCTATATCAAAATTCTGACCTCCCATCAGATTATATATCTTAGTTCAAACTTAACAACACATCAGTATTCTTTCTCTTCAAAAATATCTTCATTAGCACTTTTTCTTAAAAAAAGGGACATAATTTCTGGGTTTCTTTTTATGAATTGATTAAAACTCATTCATATTCATGGGGACATAGAAAGACTAACTTCATGTACCTTAAAATAGAGTTAAAGAAGTAATAACCCTTAATTTATTTCCCAATAAATTCCAAACAGAGCAGTTACTTTTTATTAAAATAGTCTATATGACACCAAGTCTAACAAATTTCTGAAAAGTAACATGGAAAATTACAGGAAAGGGTAACTTATCTAATTGTTCACTAAATTGAAGTTCATTTTCTTACAGTCTCCCTATTGTAATTATTTTTCATCCTTTTGATTTTAAAGTATTGTGGGTTTTAAATATTTTTTAAATTGATAAGCTGAACTGAGTCTATAAGTAGATAGATTTTAAATCTTAAATAAATTCAAAATCAGTCCTCCTTTTGATTTTAAAGTCTTGTGTTTTTTAAATTGATAAGCTGAACTGAGTCTATCTGTAAGTAGGTAGAGTGGAAATCTTAAATAAATTTAAAATCAATCCAAAACCTTTTTCACCTTCTGCTTTCAGCAATTAATTCTTATGTTATCTATAGCTCTCCTTTACCCAGATTCTTGTATCAGAAAATGTGTCTATAGCATTTAAGGAGGATTCAATTTTAAGGAAATGTTTTAGAGAAAGAAGGTGAAAGAGGAAGAATACAAAATAAATGTACAATGAATAATAATTACAGTGTGTTTGTGTGTGTGTATATATATATATTTCATATGTGTTTCAAAACCTACACTTGCAAAGTTTCATTTCAGAAAGAAAAACCTATCAAAGCATATCATTTTAATTATACTTCTATTACCAGGGGACTCTGAAAGTGTATATTAAATTAATGAAATGGATTTCCTTGGTTCCACAGTGGTTATTAGCAGGAAGAGCTCCCAGTTTTCATATTATGTACATCACTAACTTTAATTGCATTAGGCTGAGCTGGGAGAACTATTTTTAGGAAATATTTCATCCTCAATACAATTTCTGTTGGCTGTCTGCCTACTACTGCTCCAGGACTGAGAATTCTCTCATAAATGTTAACTTATTACTTCTGTCAGTCATGCTTTCACACATACCACCTCATGAAAACTACCCAAATGACTTGGCTTAGGCTCCTAGGAGGACACCGATGGAGCAAGACAGGTGGGCTTCCTTGTTGGCACTCAGGGACAAGTGCATGATCATGCAACATCTGGATGTGCACACACGTGTGACCCTACACAAGCACACGGAGGGACAGTGACAAACCTGGGATTCCTGCAGCTCGGGGAAGCTACTGCCCATGCAATCCGGAATATGAAGATGTTGTAAAATAAAAAACTGAAGCACAGAGGAAATGAGCTCTTTGCTATTTGTGCCTAGCAACTCACTGAGGTTTCTGAGTCTGACCTCAAATTACTGGTGGACTCTATGATGGTAAATACAGGGTGTTTAATGTCATAGTATTTCTGGTGCCAAGGTCTCTACTAGAATGTAGGAGTTACAAACCTGATAAATAATTTAGAAATTATGTACTCCAAAGCTTCCACTTGATAGATAAGTCCACTATGAACAGTTGATGTAGCTTTGGAGAAGGAAAATTTGGCAGGGTCTCTTGAAATTTAAGACACGCATAACTTCAACCTGGCAAGTTGTCTACTTAGAAATATATCTATCTACATCCTCATAATGTGGGCAAAGATATGTGGAGTCCTGTTTATAATTAAGAAAAAAATAGAAATAACCTGAATACTTAGGAATAGGGAATATTTGAATAAAGTAAGGTGTATTCATACTACAAAACAGCATAGTTTTTTTAATATGTCTCAGATTATATATTATAAGGCCTGCAATATATATTAATTGAGAAAAACAATTCACTGTATACTAGATGGACTATGACTTTATTTAGGTAAAATGAGCTATGTAATGCAATTTATAAATTACGTAACCCAAAAATTTCAAGTATGTGAAATTTACATCATGCATATTTTACATACATATGAAATAGATTTGTATATATATTATATATGTGGGTAAATATGCATACACATACGTAACTTTAAGGAAGGTTAAATGATAAACTTAATAGAGCTGGGGAATGAAGAAAGAGCAGGTGATGGGTATGGGTGTCATACTTTTTTATTCTATATTCCTTTATATTTTTCATTTTGCCATAATACCCATGTATTCATATATTACTGCATAACTAAAAAAATGTATACAGATTTTTTTAAAGAAGCTATAACCAATAGAAGAAGTTACTTGCATGCTCAAAATCATTCCACTAATTTATGGTAGAACTGAAATAAAACAGAGAGGATGGGCACTCTGGGATAAAGTCATGACTATCACATATCTTAGAACTGAGAGAGACCTCAGGACTTGAAAACAATGGCAAACCCTTGTCTATGACTAAGTACTCAAGATACTGCTTTAAGTGCTTTACTCATATTAATTTATTTAATCCTCAAAACAATCCCATTGGGTGCCCATTAATATCTCATTGGTAATACGTTTGCGACGTGGGCATTGTAATCCCCTCCATGGTATGCACACCCTACATTTCCTTCCTCAGATGGCCTCTGAGGTTGCCTTTGGTCAGTGAGACAATAGGAAAAGTGATATAAGCAGAAGCCTGAAAAGTCCTTGGAGGTCAGGGCCTGTCTGTTCTTACCACTGGGACCCCTCCAACATCATGTGAAACAGCCTAGACTTGCCTCCAGAGCAAAGAAAGAACACCTGGAGAGAGCTTGCGACATCCTTGCCACAGCACAGCCTCAGACACAGCAAAAGAGGCCTCCCCAGACCATCAGGAATGCTGAGGGGCCTACCTGCTCACAGACACAACCCCTATTTCTCAGATAAGGCAACTGAGACCAGATAATTTCTAAGTGGCAGAGCCAGGAAACAAATCCAAGCAGTTAGCTCTAGAATCTAGCTTCTTAATCACCAAGCTATGTATCTGATTGGCACTCATGATAAGGAAAGACACACTCCTGCATCATGAAGCGAATTTGACCCAAAGAAGGGGCAGCGGCAGCATAGGATGGGAGAGGCCATTTCAAAGGGTCAGAGGTGGAAGCATTTATGTCCTCAGGTGTCTGTCTTTGTGCACGTGAAGTAAGAAAGCAAGAACCAACTACCCTAGAGGGTTTAACAAGAACAAGGATTGGCGAACACAGGCTGACGATCAAATCCAGTCCACCACCTGTTTATATAAAGTCTTATTGGAGCATAGGGGGCCCATCAGTTTCTACATTGTCTGTGGCTGACTTCACATTACAATGACAGAGTTGAACAGTCCCAACATATGGCTTCTAGAGCTAGAAATATTACCAAGACCTCTTTAGAAAAAGTTTGCCAACTCATGAGGTAGAAGGGGAGACAATTAGTGGGGTCTAGAGATAAAGCTGGAGACCCAGACATTATAGTTATCAAGGGACTTTACTGGAGGCTGAGGAATTTAGATGTCACATGACATGTCATTAGAGAACTCCTCCAGGACCCACATGGGGGAGGGAAAAGGAGTCCTGAGAAAATGACATCTGGAAAATAAGACTAGAGTGAAGATAAGCCAGTCTGGAGACCAGCAAGAGGTGTATCAAAAATGATGTCATGAGATGAGGAAGCCAGGTCTAGGCTAGGAGTGGTAGAAATACCCAGGAGAGGAGGATGTGGATGCAGCTTTGGAGTGAGGCAAAAATTGCCTAGATGCAAATGATTCATGGTCCTGTAAATGGCTAATATGTCAGCCTATTACAATGGGTGAGAGGTAATTTTGCAGTCACCTCTGCAGTCACCATAATTACTTTTACGCCAACCTAATACTTTGTTATTAGGTTGGTGCAAAATATTATTCTAATGTTTTAATTCTAAAACATTAGGATACTAATGTTTGCCATTACCTTTAATAGCAAAAATCACAATTACTTTTGCAGCACCCTAATACTAGGATGCAGCAGTAAATTCTCCACCTCCCCTCCTCCCTAGAGGAGACTGTTATTTTCTCAAGAACTTACTCTCACCACCACTCCCATCTTGTTCTCTCTCCCAGGTTGTTGAACAACTTCCACCCACCACTGTCTGAGAGCAGGGAAGCTAGGCTGAGGGTCCAAGCCAACCTCCAATTCCATTATATATGAACTTGTATCTTGATAAGTTTACTTTATTTCCTCATATTGAGATTCCTTCTTTCAAATTAGGAAATTTAGTCTCAGAAAATATGTCCTGTGGAATATTGCACAAATTTTAAAAAGGGTAGAAGAGAAGAAAATTAAGTCCTGGTGAATCTATTTCCAAAGTCTATATTTTTTCAGCTAAAGTGTGAACAATGGGCAATCTTATTTATTTTTCTCAGAATTCACTTTCTGATTTAACTTTATGTCTAATTTGCAGTACAAAATCTATATTTACTATGACAATTTACCTTTTCTTCAATTATGTGGCACTAGAACAGGGTAAGTTTTGACCAAAGACAGCCTCCTCTGAGCCCTCTTCTCAACCAGCCTCAAACTTAGCCTATAAGAACTACAGACTGTCAATACAAATGTTTTTGTCCACTCCTCTCACCTACCAACACATTAAGAGACTTGAAAACACTAGCATAATGTCTAATAGCTCAAGGCCATGTCTCTAGGACAACAGCTTCAGTTCCCTCTTAAATTCCTGCCTGGGAAACCCCAAGGCCGCCCAAAAAACTTGCTGTTCATTCCAGCCAATACCGGAAGACAGGGCCGCGTCTCCCAGTCTCTGTGGGAGGACAGGGACCTAACTTCCCTAAGAAACGACTAATCACATTGACCAACCACCATCTCCACTTTCCTGCTTTATGTAAATTTCTACCTCCCTGCCTCTGCTGCTGTCCTGGCTAGTTCCATTCCTACTCCCTAGTTCTCCCTTTAAAATGTTCAGTCACTCCTGCAAAAACCTAGGAAGAGCTTGGTTTCCAGGACTCTCTCCCCTATTGCAATAGGCTGAATAAAATCTGCTTTCATCACCTTCCACTCTTGTCCTTGCCTATTTACCTGACAGTTTCCCTCTGTCCCATCCTCCATTGGACCCACTCCTGCCCCATAGCTGAGCTTTAAATGGAAGGCGATTCTTTCAGAAATATAATCTCCATTACACATGCCTTAGCTCAATTTTTTCTTACCAAAACCTTGCCATGTGAGAAATATTCTCCTTATTTTTCCAGACGAGGAGGCTGAGGTTCAGAGAAAAAGTATAGAGTAACAAAACAATCAAGTTGTAAGACATAAATAGAGTGTAAACCCACATCTCTTAAACACTGGGTTTGAGTGCTGTTTTCTGGAAACCAGGTAGTTGACAAAGTCTTAATGGAAGTTAACGTTTGAACGTTGCTCTGAGCTGTTGGCTCTCATCATCAACTGAAAAGAAAGATGAGAAGTTTGTAATTTATCCTTTTTATCTCATCCCACTCAGTTGATCCTAGAAAGTCAGTGCCTCCTCCAAGACATCTACTGCTTTAGCTTTTGTTCACTCAGCTCCAAGATAGAGAAGACACTTCTGCACCCATTTCTTTCATGAAATGATTTTAATTCCTCCATGGTGCTGAGCATTCTTCTGTGAATGTCACTGAGAGACACAGGTCACATTTTCTCTGGGAAACTGCAGACCCAGCAGCTCATCCTTGCCCTCCTTCTACACATGAGGCTCAGAGTAATTCAGCTTCAGTTCACATTGTTTTTTTTAGAATCTATTGTTTAAACATAGTTATTTTTACATGATCATCTAAAACTTCTAAAATCTGTTTGCATGATCTAATGCTAAGACAACTATTCTTTGTTCTCTATTTCTGTAATTGGTTTTCTTGGTTTAACATGCAGGTCCTAATATCTAGTCCAGTTTAATTATGACTTATTTGGCTTATATTGTTTTGGCCAACAAATAGCTTTCTTGATCCTGGCTCTTTTATATTCTCTTTGATCACAACTCAGAAGTGGCTGATTAAAAAAACCATATGTATTTTTGTTCAGTTTAAGACTCCAAGTGAATATATCCCCAAACTCTTTAAATGCCTTACAAGAGAATTGCCAGTGGGTGCACAGCTCCTACGTGACTAACTCCCATTTTTGCATTCAGGAGCATGACAGCAATACCACTTTCCACTCTTTGGGAAAGAGTGCTTTGTTTTCATAGTGTGTACATTTTGCACTGACTTTTTTTCCCCAGAGATAGCGAGATCAACTGTGTTTTGTAATTTTAAAAATCTGTTAATGCCATGAATCAATGATATGTCATGTGAAGAAAATGTAATTAGGTAAATCTAATAGAAGTCATGATAAAAGCACTCCAAATATTTTTACTCCAAATTAGCATATAATAACTAATATTTGCCACATGCTTTACACTAAATTAATTCCCTAATTTGATAAATATGGCAATATTTAATAATTTGTGTACAGGTGGTATTACCTACCTTACTGTGCAGATGAGGAAACTAAAAACGATATATGCTTGCGATATGTTTTATGTCACATAGGCTAGTTAATATTTATACAAAAATTCCAATGGAGGAATGTCTGGTTCATGATAGTGAACTAAATGCTCTTTTAACTCACAACCCCAAATGAGACAAGTAGATAGAGGTTTAACTCTCTCAAAATAGTAATTAAATTTAATGAAAACACAATGAATAATCCAATTAAAAATAGAATATTAGAAAATAGATGCTGCTTAAAAGAAGAACATTTAAATATAAGCAGCAATAATGTAAAAACTGAAGAAAGGAAAAAGATAAGCAAAAGAAAGCTAGTATATCTACCATAATTTAAGACAAAATAGACTTTATAGCAAAAAAAAAAACCGCTAGAAAATATGAAAGGCATTTCAAAATAATAATAGAAATCAGTAGAAAGATACAATGGTTCCAAATGTGTATGCACTTACTAACCCAGTTTCAAAATACATAAAGCAATGGTTGATAATATTAAAAGGACATAATAGGAAATCCACACTCAACACTGGAAATTTTACCACACATCTCTAGACATTATATTTCAACAGAAATATAATATTGAATAAATGTAGTCAGACACAAATATGTGCATATTAATGATTGCTTTTACAAAAAGTTCAAAATTAGGCAAAACTAATTTATGTCGACAGAATTCATGGTTGTGCTTATCTTTGTGAAGATGGTGAGTACTGACTTGGAGGAAGCACAAGAGGGAATTCATGTTTCTATTAATTTCAGATTTCTCAATCTGGCTATTATTCACTTCATGCAAATCCATAGAGCTACAGTCTTATGACATATACTCAGTTTTGTGCACTTGTTTTAGTTTTGTAAATAAGGCAGATTATCTCTCTCTTCTGCTCTCAACCCCCTGATATTTGTCCTCAAACTGAATAGCTGAACAGGTGGCCATTGAGTGTGTTGCCTCCCCTGGTAGGTCTCAGTTCATACAACCTAGAGCCATATCACTGACACACCAGGCAGTGACCAAACTGCCTGCCTCCCTACTCCAGCCCCAAAACCCTTGCTTCTCCTTGACATCCAAAGCAATTCCCTCCTTAGAATTCTCTTTCAAGGAGGCGCTTCTCCCAAATACTTTGCTTCCTCATTCAGGTTGCTAATGTTACCTTATCAGAAAGGTTTTGCCTGACCATCGTATCTAAAGTAGAAACCTCCTTCAATTTTTTGTTTCTTTGCCCTTCTTTAATGTTCTTCACAGAGCTAATCACTATGTAAAATTATATTGTATGTCTATTTGTGTATTTCTTGTCTACTCCCACAGGAGCAGAGTCATAATATTTATTTTTCACTTTTATATTCTCAGAACTTTGAATAATATATGAGGTAATTAGTGTTGAAGAATTGAATGTATAAGTGAAATGAGCTAAAGTTCCATCTTTCATGGCTGGAATTTAATAGTCATCATCTAAAACAATATTAAAAGCACGTTATTTAACTCTGTAAAGATAACCAGAACTAAAATAAAATATGAACAGTGGGAGATTTGGAAGTGACAGATTTGTCACTTATTAGAGAATTGTCACAATTAGAGAATTGTCGCTTATCATTACAAGAACTTATGTATTATTTAGTATTGAATTTAATTTTTTTTATGTTTTTAGCTTTAAAACGTGAAAAAATAGAGGAAATAAAAAATTTAGGAAATTGGCTCTAAGTTCCATTCTTTTGCTCTAGACTCTACCCTGTCTTTACGTATCTGTCATCCTTAGCTTAATAACTGTTTCTACTAGATGCTGCTGATGCTGATGTATTTACAATATTGAGCCACTTTTCAGGCCACAGTAGCCCGTCATAACTAAATGGGATTGTTCTAAATTCAAGGGAAAAACTCTGCATTAACTATGGTGGAATAAATGGTGGGGGTCCGCCCGAGAACAGCCTTGGGTGACTGGCTGGGATGTAATGAATAGCCCATACTGAGCAGGTTGGAAGAAATGCAAAGTGTGCTGAGGCTCCCCTATTCCTGAGGTCTGCACCCTGTTGTCTATGCAGAGCTCACACATCTGGGCAAGTATGCAACATCTCCATCAACACACAGGAAAGCAGTAAACAATTATCCAACTAATGTCATGCAAAGAGGGTACTGGAGTGTAGGGAAATAAGACATTTTGTTTGATATCTTATTAAAGGTGTTATGTATATGGATTTAAAGAATGCACCCTAATTTTCTTTACTTGCCATGTGTCTTTGATGGGTTGTCCTATAATGTGTGACAAGTCTTTAGCATTCATTAAGTCAAAGTTCAACAGGGGAGAAAACTAAAAATATTGCAGACTTGCATTTCCTTAAAGGCACATGTGCTGAGATTTTTTTTCTTCCTTTACTTTTCTGTACAACCCCAATTTTCTTCAAGCAAAAGCAATGTAATTGTTCTGTCAAGAAAATCAAACTGATTACAGCCACATGGTGTGTCTTCTGTGAATGAAAATCAGAGAGTTGCTGTGTGCTGGGTTCGGTTTGGTGATCTTGCAAGGGGAGGGAGCTGAACTTCATCTCTCTTCCTGTCTCCTCATGAACCAGTGATGTCCCCTCAGCCCTTCCATACGCAGAGCGTGTACCCGTTTGAGGATATTTCTCCTAGATTTTACCACGTCTGGGTTTATCTTTTCATTTGGCTATCTGCGCAAGAATTAAGTGTGTTTCCCCAAAGAGACTTTTCCCAATCGCCCCTCTAAAATTACACATTCATTCCTTCACTTCACCATCTCAATTTGTTTGCTCCTTAGCAGCATTTGTAATTATTTTATTGACATACTTTTATGTGTTTATTCTCGCTGGGCTGTGAGCTCCAGGATGGTAGGGACTATTTCTGTTGTTTCATTCCCAGCAATTCCCCACGCCTAAATCAGTGTCTGGTGCGATAATGGGAAACAATAGAAGCTTGCTGGGTGAATAAATAAAGAGGTAGTTTGAAAAGGAAGAATTGTAACAGTAGACATTTCAATAGAAGCACTAAGTACTCAACAATGAGTTGCTGAATGTGGAATGATATTTTATAATTTTAAATAATATTACAGTTTGTAAAGTGTTTTCATATCAATTATTATCATTTGATTCTGTCAGCAACCCTGGGTAAGTGCAGAAGAAAGGCTCAGAAACATTATGTGACTTGTCCTAGGTCAACCAGCTAACAGATGACAGAGCCTGGAACCCTGGGCCTACGTCCTCACAAACCACACTCTTTCCACTGCGCTGCAGCTGCCTCCTTAAAAGGATATTTTGTTCCTTGTCTCTACCAAAATTATTTATAATCTCTAGCACTTTGCTTCATTGCAGTAATATCAATATTTGCACAAAACAAAACCATCTGATAAATCTTCTAACGCCTTGGTTTGAGAGGCAGCTTTTTTCCCCTTTTCCTATCACTGCTGCTACCTGCAATGCTGTGTTGCCAAAAAGTGTCACATGGAACTAGCACCTATCCTACATCAATTAAACTTCTAGGTGTATTTAAACATTAAAAAAAGTCATTTGCACTTGGATTAATTAATGTAGAGATTAACTTTTTTAACGGACTAGTATCACTTCTCAGCAGTCTAGACATTCACATATTCATGAGTGACCAGATCAGTGATACTCATATAAATCTGCAAGTGAAGAAAATGAGCTGGGGCTATCAGTGTCTTTTTTGAAGCAAGCAAACAAAAAGCTCACCTACCTCAGTGTGATCTACATGTCCAATTCCATGGGATAATTTGAACTGTTGAGACTTATGAATATGATGAAAAAAGAAGAGATTTAGGAGTTCAACTGTAACGGTTCTCTAATAATGTGGTACGTCGATTCCTAGAAAACTACTTAATAACTAGAAAAGAGAGTTGCTTTCAGGGCCAACTTAAGTAAATTGGAAGCTATTTCTTCATTTAAAACACACACACACACACACACACACACAGACACACACACAGACACACACACACACCATGCTCAGGTATAACGGCCTTTTATTCAACGAAAGAAGGATCCTGACAAGAAAATCCTCATACTATATTCTCTGTTACAGCGCATGTTTTACTAAATCCTCCTTTCCTTCCAGAACTGTGAGACTTTGACAGCAAGTCACTTAACTCTGTCCAGCAGCAGCTGTGTGGGTTTTGCATAATTAATTATTTATACCAAGGCAGACACAGTAATTAACATCCAGATGAATATAATATTCTGATCAGAAATACTTTGCATTTCAGCCATCCCTCAAGCAAGTAGCTGTCAAAACCGGACTGTTTGACAGAGTGGGGCCTGCCAAAAACCTCCCAGACATCTGTTCTGTAACAAAAAGAACAGATTCTCAAAGCAGTGTGTACATATATTCACTGGTTTCAGTAGGCAAGGAATAGTTGATTACCTTTTCACAAATTCCGGTCAATTTTGTCTGGTTCCAAGAACATCACTCAGCATCTCACAGAAGGGCTGAATTTTAAATGAAAAGTCTATGTCTCTGTGGGTGCCAGCCTTGCAAATGCAGTCAAATAAAAAATCCTGTTCAGATACTCCTCAGATCTGTGAATGGAAGTGTCATAACATTACTTTCATCCTTCCATGGCTAAAAAACCAATAGTCTATGAATTATTCTTAACAACCATGTAGTTCCTTGACACCAAATTATATTGCCACTTGTATAGAAAAATGGAAATACATGAACTGTATTAAAAGTTGTAGATTTTTTAAGAAATAGTGAGACAACATCACCAACCAGCAGCTAGATTGTGTTTATGCAGATGAATGCAGGGCTTCCAATACGGTTCACATTGCTTCCTGGACGTAGTTGGATTGGGGTGCTCCCCTGGTCATTTTTTCAACTCAAAACAGGGTAGCCATTGCCAAGACATATAATTACTGCCCAGGGCTGGCGATTGTGACTAATATAGATAGATGGATTGGATTATTTATAACCCAATTAATTATTTTTATGTCAACCCGGAAATATGGATTGGGAATCAGAAGACCCGGATACTAGTTTCAGTTTCATCTTTTAGGATCATTTTTACGTTGTGCCAATCTCTGGACCACTGTAAGCATCAGCCTCCTTATCTGCAAAATGGGGATAGTTAATTTATCTTGTTTGTAGATAATGTTTATAAAAGCTTTTTGAGAATTTTCAAGATCTAGGTTATAATATCAAATTCTGATGATAATACCAGATGTACATAAGGACATGTTTTGTCTCCACTGACACTTTTTTCTTAACTTTCTAGTATCAGCTGGCTCATTTTTAAGATTGTTAGATGATTTAGCAAATAAAAATACAGGAGACCGGGTGTGGTGGCTCATGCCTATAATCCCAGCTGTCAGGGAGGCAGAGGCAGGAGGATAGCTTGAGCTCAGGAGTTCGAGACTTGCCTGGGAAATATAGTGAAACTTTGTTCTCACAAAAAAAGAAAAAAAAAGAAAAAAATACAGGATGCTCAGGTAAATTTGAATTTCAGGTACAATAATTGAGTAACTTTTTAATATAAGTATGTCCCATGTCATATTCAGAAATAATTGTATACAATTAATTTATTGCTTATCTGTATTTAACCTGCATTTGTCCAGTATTCACACTGTTCTTTTGCTTGAATAAAATGTCACCTGACAATGCATGGGAGACCCATGTGACTCCTCTCCCTAGACAAAATGTAAAAGATATCATGTCTTTGTACAACCACGTATTTAGAAATACTAAGCTTTTCTTTTTCTTTTGCTTGTTTGTCACTACACACCTCCCTCAACTAATGAGTGTGTACTGGAGATGATGATATTAGAATGAAAAAGGGGTAAGATGGGACAGGGAAGGAGTGGGAAAGATGTTTCATAATTTATAAAAAAAAGATGTACCTTTTTCCTTTAATTGTGCTGATAATTAAGTAGTAATATTTAGTAGTAATGCTTAATAGCAAAATTTCTATGGGTTACATTATATGTGATCCTCCAGATTGCTCATACTCTAGCAAGTGGTAAAGTCTATCCCTACTGACCTCTCCTGTTATCCAACAATCAATTAAGGACATAAAGCTTAAATAAGAATGCAAAAAAAGCCAAGAATTCCAATTTTTCCAAGGCTCTATTACCAGCTAAAATATATTATAATCCCTACAGAGATACATCTTTCTTAAAAAAATAAAAAAGGGTGGATGAAAGAGAAACAAAACACTATTTAAAAGAATAGACATGAGAATATTTATAAACTTGTATCTAGACAGTAAGACCAACTAAAGAGTCATTCAACTTATGGAAAGATAGACATACTTTACAAGTCTATTGAGTGTTATTACCAGACTGAAAAGAAAAAGAGAGAGCGATAAAATGAACTTTGTAGGGATATGAGAGTGTCCCAGATAGGTTTGCCAAGCAAGATTTTTGAGGGAGCATCATTTCATTTAAAGAGAAAATGACTCAGTTAACTTATATCTAACGTCTGATGCCCTCATCTGCAGAATGGTCATGAATCATATTCCAGAGAATGAACAGTGTAAACTATAGCATGAGGAATAAGCAAAATATCTCTGGCAACTGTTTATCATACTTGGGATGGGTGATTGGAACTGGCTGATAGAATGTCTTCTTAGGAAGGCTTTACCTAGGATTTACTATCTAGGGTATATTTTCATCAGTCTGGAATGATATAAGAGCAAGTTTTTATGGTTCCTGAGACTCAACTCCCACCTGTGATGATCCTGGGGGTGAGTGAAGATAGAAAAAAATCAGGAAGCTAGAAAATCTTAATTTTAATCCTAGCTCATACTCTATAAACTCACACATATTCTTTTATCCTTTTGGATCTGCATTTCCTTCTTCTGTAAAAATGAGACCATTTACAAAAGTTTTCCTGGTTCATTGCCACTTGGTAGCTCCAAACTTCTCCTTCAGGCTGTGTAATTCATATTCGTAATTATTATCCTATTCCAGAGCCTAAATTCAACTGTGGACATCAGGGAAGGGAGCAAGGATGCCTGCTGGAGAACATTCCTTACTGCCCGGTGTGAGGAAGGCAATTTCTAACCGCAAAGGAGCCAAAGGAGAGTGGGCTCCCTGGTGAAATGTTTGCCCGGGTCCTCATGCAGGTTTTAGCTGACCACTTGCCAGGGATGCTATGGAGAAGGTTTACGCATTTGGTAGGAGCAGTTGGCCTAGAAAAACCTTATATTCTTTTCCAAATCTTACTGAGGTGCTATCAAATCTCTTTGGTTGGTGGCTGCTTCTACTCTTGGAAGCAAGTTTTTTGTTTGTTTTTGTTTTTGTTCCTGTTTGTGTCCATGGGTTCCTTGACCAAGCCCTTCCCCAACCTGCATTTAGCAATAATTGTTCTATAATTCCAGACTCCTTGTTACTCAATTTCCTGTTGCTGAAATACCTGATAGTGAGAACTGGCCTCTCTTAGAAAGGCTCTACGGCCATCCAGCAATCGCCTAGCCCACCCCTGCTGAATGGAAGACACATTACATTAAATCTAGCACTTGTTGTAGACAGAGGGCTCATGCCCTATGCTCAGAGTGGAGAAGCAGGGGCACAGTGGAAGACTTGGGGTGAGTGACACCTGGCTTTTTGCCCTGCTCCTTCACTTACCAGCTATGTGATCCAAAGATCACATCTTTTCTCTGACTTGACTCAGTTCCCACAATATGAAAATGTGTAATCACACTTTACTCCCAGGGTCAATGTGAGGATTAACTAAGCCAAGCCCGGGATTAACATTACTTTTCATCACTTTTCTTGTGTCCGTCCTTATTTTCTAATCCATCATATAAGACCTAGACATATCCCTATGGTTCATCATCTGCCCTTGGTCCAAACAAAAAACCCAGATGAATCCTCTGTCCATCTTTCCACATTTGGTCTGTGTCAAGGTCACTAAAACCCAGGCAAACAAAACCAAAGAATAAATTGTTCGAACATATAAACTTAACTCCCATGACCTCTTCATACCTCTGATCCTGTCTACTTTATTCTCATGTGAATACAGCTCTCTTAGTCTTAAGCTCCCAGGGCTTTGGCCCCAGCACACATACCTCCTGAAACCCTTCAATGCAGCTGCCTCTTTCTTCTAAACTGATCCTTGCCATACCAGGTGAATTTGTGAGCAAACGCACTCTGTTCTGCTGCTGAGCTAGCAATTTTTGCTACTGCTAAGTGCTCATCTTTATGACTTTATCCTTTTGCCTTCGTAAATTCACTTTATCGTTGAAATTATATACTCCATACCTTTTTTTTAAGTAAATTTATTTTTCTACTCTGGAGAAATTCTTTTTAGCTATTTGCAGTCAATCAAGTGTAAAACAATGGATTTCAACCACTAAAAATAACATTCAAGTGTTTTCCTTCATTGGCGTGACATTCTTATAAATTATTTTAAGAATCCCTGACAAGGTGAACAGCCATCCATGAGGCATGCACGGTGTATAGAAACCACAGAGATAATTGAGTGGGAATGAAAGAGTTATGAATTTCTGAATCTCTCATCTGGTGTGTTCACAGAGCATTGCTTTCCATACTAATTTAGGGATATAATCTACTACGCGCACTTCAGAAACTAAAACCTGTGATTTGGGAAACATGTGACTAATCTTCTCACATGCAAATAAACACATGTGCAGCACTGGGTACTGTGTCTGGCAGCACTGGGAGCCTGTCTGTGGAGTGCCTGGAAGCATTATGCATTGTTATGCTGTTTCTGCAGGAAAACGTCTCTGTTTGCTGAGTCTCAGGTCTGTTTGGTGTGGAAATGTAGGTCAAATATTCATCTCTGACCTTTACTAATGGGACTCTTTTGGGCTTCTTGGTGAATTGATTGCACAGTTTTGTCATTCCCACCTCACCTACCTGACAAAAGAGCTGCTGATTCCTAGGAATCATAATTTGTTAGTTGTTTTGAACAATTATTCAACTCAACACAAATTTAGGAGCTTGCAAAATTTTCACTGATATTTCACCTGAGTATACTCAGTAAAGTACTCACAAGTTGGTTCATATCTGTGTACTTTGTCCTCCTCACAAATTTAGGATTTTGAAGGCCAACTTTCTTTCTTCCTAGTTCTGCATACCCATGGTGCACTGAACGATGCTTGGCAAACAGTAATTCTCTAGAAAATGCTAAATCAGAGAAGATAAAATGTCTTGTTTGTATAATGCTGTGCAGTCTGGGCTAGTCAATATGTTTTCTTTGCACTCATCATGACATATTTCAAATGCATTAGTATATTAATCTATTTGGAAGATATTAAATAATTTGGAATACACAATCTGAGCCTGAATATTTAAAGAGATTAGAGCATGAGATCTGTTAACATGCTAGAAGACAAAAACTTTGTTTCAGTAGAGAGAAAGAAAGAGAGAGAGAGATTGTTTAATTCTTGATACTCAAAAAAGAGAATAGGACAAAAATTTATAAATATACATACACACACACATATAGAGAGAGGGATGACATCATTCAGTAGGCAAATAAAGTAATACAATGCAGATAAAGTAATACAATGCTAATGACTTTTCATGTGTTACCTCATTTAATTTTCTCTAACTAGTTTGAAGGAGAAACTGAGGCTCAGATAAGTTGTGTAGCATGTCCAAGTTTGAACAGTGGATGAATAGATCCTCACTATCATAGTAGCATAGGGGAAATCTACCCCCATGATTCAATCACCTTCCACTACGTCCCTCCCCTGATATGTGGGGATTACATTTTGACATGAGGTTTGGGTAGGGACACAGAGCCAAACCATATAAGGTAATAAAAGTGGCTTGTCATTCAAGCATCCATGAAAATAATTCATATGATATGATTAAAATAAATAAATTTGATTATTTCAATAGTTGCAGAACAAAAACTTGGTAAATTTAAACACCCATTTAAGTTCACTTTAATTATTTGCAAATCAAGAATAAAGACAATATCATTAACCTGGCAAAATGTAGACACCAAAAATCTATAATAGACATTGTTATTCATCCTGAAATATTAGAATAATTAACCTCAAAAGCAGGAACAAAGCAAGTGTGTGTATTACCATGCATCCATTCAACACTGCACTGGCGGTTCTCACCAATGCAGTCAGTCGAGAAAATAGTAAGTCAAAATATAAGAAAGATAATATTATTCTGAAAGAGAAAACCAAAAAGATACCACAGACAAATTATTAAATTTAATAAAATGATTTAGTACGTTGGAAGTCACAAATGCAATATATGTTAGACAGGACTCAATCAGGGAAAGAGCATCTGCTCTGGTATTTAAAACAGAAAATGGTTTAATTCAGGAAATAGGAGGCTGTGTTAGTGTCCAGCTGCTGCTATAAAAAATAGTGACAAACTAGGTGGCTTAATACGGTTAATATTTATTTTATTGCAGTTTTGGAGGCTATATGTCCACAATCAAGGTGTCAGCAAGGCCACATTCTCTCTTAAGTCCTATGAGAGAATCCCATCATGCCTACTCCAGTGTCCAGTGATTACCAGCCAGCCTTGGAATTCAAAGGCTTCTGGCTGCATCACTCCACCCTCCACCTCTGTCTTCACAAGAACTTCTTTCCTGTGTATCTCTGTCCTGTACTATATTTCTTCTCTTCTCAGAAGATAGCTGCATCCCTCTGCCCTTCAGCTCTGTCTTCACAAGGTCTTGTTTACTGTGTGTCTCTGTCCATCACTATATTTCTTCTCTTCTTCTCAGAAGGTAGCTGCATCACTCCACCCTCCACCTCTGTCTTCACAAGGCCTTCTTTCCTGTGTCTCTGTCACTGTACTTCTTCTCTTCTTCTCAGAAGGACAGCAGTCATAGTGGATCTGTGCACTCCCATGCTTCAACATGACCTATTCATAACTAAGTACATCAGAAAAGACCCTATCTCCAAAGAAGGGTTCATTCACAGGTATCAGGGATTAGGACTTCAATATATCTTTTTTGGATACACAGTGTAGCCAACAACAGAGGCTTCTCAAGGCTTTGAAGGGCCAGGGAAGACAGAACAGAGAATTCACTGTAATTTATGGAACCCGGAAAATGATGCTGATAATCTTGGCCACATGAAGCACCAAAGCCAGTGAATTTCTGGTAGATACCCAGATGCTCACATCTGCTGACAGAAGAAGACTGCACTGCCTGTGGCTTCCGTGGAAGCAAGTGATGCGTTGCTTCCCTTAGACTCAGATGACTCACTCAGGCACACAGTCTAAGCCAGTGAGCTGGCAAGGCACCCTAGGAGGCAGGGCATCTAGCTTTCCAGTCCCTGCAATAACCTAGAATGTTTGGGATGAAGATGAGCATCAGTGGACAATATTAAACACAATTTACACAATCGATTGAATTTCTACTTATAACAAACAAACAGAAAAATAAATTTAAAAATTAAAAATGGCATTTGTAATAGCAATATACATGAAACCTTTGTAATTCTAACAAAATCCACATAGTACACTTGAGGAGAAAATGTAAGAATGTACTAAAATTCAAAGATTTATTGAATTGAAAGATATTACAGTTCTTAAAAGATGTGTTGATTCTTATGTTCATAGAAGCAATGCTTCTAATTAAAAAACGAACATCAACTACATATCTAATAAAAAGAGAAGTAATAAATAAATTATAATATATTCACAAAATTTATTATACGAAGGTGAAAATAATGAATTATAGCCATATGTAACAAAAATATTGAATCTTAGAATCCTCATATTGGGTGGAAAAAAACAAATAATTGAATAGTCCATATAGCATTATAACATTATTTAATGTTCAAAAACAAGTAAAAAGGAGCAAGATATTGTTTAATAAAATATAAATGAATATGAATATGTGGCACAACTATTTTTATAAGACAAAGGAATAATTAACACAAAATTGAGGCTAGTCAAGTTTTGCAGGAGAAAGCGGGGGAGGAGATAGATGTAAAGGCTCACTTGGTGCTACTGGCTGTCTTCTAGGTCTTAGCTGGGTTGGTAAGGTCAGGAGTATTTATCTTAATAATGTGCTGTATAAATTATAGATATATGCTACACATATTTCTTTGAAGCCTTCAACTATTCAATAGTATATATTTTTATGAAATGAAAAAATTAATAAGTGAATGCATAAAAATGAAAGTTTTAGTATTTTCCTCCACATGACGATGGGTCAAAGTGCCCCACTTAAGAGAACATTTCTCTAGGAATTTTGATTTCAGTCATGGAAATAAGAGATAATATGAAAATGACTAGATTCAGTCTAGCTGAAGAGGTACATGAGCAGGACAAACACCAAAGGTTTATCCTAGAATAAGAGAAAAAGAAAATAAGAGAAAAGAGGGAGTAGATAGACGATGCAGTTTAACTGCTCGTATTCATCCAGCATGATAATAATTAAACACATGCCTGTTCTTAGAAGCAGGGCCTTTCCTCACTTTCATATTCAGTTATATTAATCGGAGCCTGAAATCTCTAAAAGTTTTTTTTATTAAATGTGTAAATAATTATAAAAGCTGTATCTTAATTACTATTTTATTAAATGCTTTATAAATGTATTCAAGTTAACAACAAATGAACTTAGTATCACAACACTGATTCACTTATTTCTTTATCATTTCAACATTCATTGGTCACCAAATCTGTACCAAGCATCTTGTTAGTGAGGGGCTTATTTAAAGAAAAAATAGTGTCAGCCATTGCAAATATCTTAGTCAAGGAGAGAAGCCAGATAAATAAAACTAACTAGCAATTCAGACTGGCATATAAGACTGATGTGTACCTAGAAAATCCCTCTGAGAGCGGTATGTACCTAGAAAAGGCCACAGATACACCAAGGATGGGACCACTCACTGGATCAAAGGAAGGGAGGGAACACTCCAGGGTAAAGATCGTGTTGAAGCAGAATGTTGAAGGAAGAGCATGAATTTTTCCAGTAGAGAGAAGGGGAAAGAGAATGGCATCTGAGTGAAGCCAAATAACTGAAAGTGGCAATGATAGATTTACAATATTTTAAGAAATATTAAATATGTAGAAAATGTAAAACAGATGAGGATATGTCCCCAGATGACATTGGAAAGGCAAAAGGGCATAAACTAGATTGTGATGGTTCTTGATATTATTTAAATTGCTGAGATTATATCAAAGTAGTGCAAAGCCCCAGGGCACCTGAGCAGATAAATCGCAGCATCATACCTGTTTACCTAATGGCATCATACATGTTTACCTAACGCCAAAGTGACTACCCATAGAAGGGAGATAAATCATAGAAGGAAGAAACTAAGGCAGGGAAGCAATGTATTGCAACAATCCATGGAGATGAAGATTTGGCTATGAGAAATGAGCAGCAGGAAGTCATCTGACAGAAGGAAGGGGGTCATTTGACATTAGAATGTGTGAGCCAGCTGTGGTGAGAAAATGGGAAACATCACACCTGGTCTCAGAGTTTGCAGCTGCAGGGAGTTGCTGCTCTTCAGTGCGCAGGTCCCTTCCCAGGGAAGCCAACTCTGAGACAGATTGTGCGTGCAAGAAGCTTACCGTGGGTGCACTTGGGATCCACGCCAGCAGAGGAGGGAGTGAAGAAAGTAGGAGTGGCTCTAGGGAGATGGTGTCCTTCCAAAAATGTCCTACAGGGAGTACTGGAGTTAAGATGGTCCTGCAGAATTTGTCCTATGATAAGACAAGGGCTCCAGACCTTATGGTCCTGTCTCAGCCATCCACTGATGGCAGCTGCTCTGAGTGCGGGTGTGTATGTGTACGTTATGTGTGTACACACACTTAGAAATATAAAAGTAGTTACTGCATCTATGTAAAAAGAGCTGAGAACTTTTTCCCCTATAGATAATAGAAAATACCTCTCAGACATTAAAAATTAAATGGTGAAATAAAAAAATAAATAGAAAGAATGGATGACAAAATTGATAACATCTCCTAGAAAGCATATCATATAAGCAATAGAAAAAAATAATATAATAAAACTAAAACATTAGTTCAGGGTATTCAAAGAATGAGTTCGAGAAGAAGATTATAGAAATATGAAAGGGAATAAATAAAAGAAAAATGAAAATAAAATTTTACAAAAATGAAGAGCAAAAATTTTCAGATTGACAGCTCCCCCTTATTTTTCAGCACAGCTGAAAGAAAGGATCACACAGCCAAGGAAGGGACATCACCATGAAATTTCAGAACCCCAAGGGAAAATGGAACAGACCTTAAATTCTCCCTGATAGTAAAGGAAAACAGAAGACAGAGGATTTTGGATGAGAATAGCTTCAGGTTTCCACAACACCACCACTAAAAGTTAGGTATTGCTTTCAAAAAGCATGAGAAATAATGATTTTCAATCTACATTTTTATCCCATTCAAAATATTAATGAAACAAGAAAATTGAGAGGTTTTTCAGATTCATAGCCTTTCAAGAATTGTATGTTTCATGCTGAAAGAAGATATACTCCACCAAAATGAGAAAATAAACCCAAGAGACACATGAGATAAATTACATAATATAACACAACATATAGATATAGCCTAGAAGAGAAGATAGAACCCTAAGATGCTAGTGCTCTATTCCATTTAATGTTGCCATAAAGGAATAACAGACTGGGTAATTTATCAAGAAAGGAGATTTATTTGACTTGGGGTTCTGCAGGCTAGAAGACTGGATATCTGCATCTGATGAGGTCTGGCCTCAGGCTGCTTCCACTCATGGCAGAAAGTGAAGGGGAGCTGGCATATCCAGACACTACTTGGCTAAAGAGGAGCAAGAGAGCAGAGGGGAGGAGCAAGAGAGCAGAGGGGAGGAGCAGGCTCTTTTGAACAATCAGCTTTATGGGAAGCAACACAGTGAGAACCCACTCACTATAGCGAAGACAGCACTGTAAGGAATCTGCCCCATGACCCAAACACCTCCCATTAAACTCTACCCCAAACATTGGGAATCAAATTTCAACATGAGTTTTAGGGGAACAAAGATGCAAACTGTAGTCAACAGTGGAGAGAAATCCATAGACCGCAGCAGTTCAGCAGACCTATGGGAAGTTGTCTTAAGGCTAACACAAGGTCAATGGCACATTTGATGCATTTGAGTATAGTAAGAGAAGATTTATAGTTCTGGCACTGAATTTGTGGTTAAATTAAATAATAGCTGACAACAACAACAGTAAAAACACCTAGACAAAATCTAACTAAATAAACAAGATGATTACTGGCTTCCAGTAACAAAAAATACATTATACAAGAAAGAAAATAATATTTTAATACACTTAATATCCAACCTGTGAATAATATTTAAATAGTAAAGTAGCACAAACATTATTGATTTTTTTAAAATGTGGCATATTAGACTAAGGAAAGGGGAAATGGGGGTGAGGATACGAAACTCCTAAGTTCTATAATAGGAAGTTGGAAAATAAGAGTAGAACTATGATTCTGCTGAGAAAAAAGATCAGAGACTTCTTTTCATTGTAAACCTATAATTAACTATGTGTGTATATGCAAAAGAATTGTTGTAAGCTCAGAAGAGTTCTGCTAAAGTATAAATTTAAGAATGTTCAAGACGTAGGGAATAGTTGAGGCTTTGGATATGGGTGGAATAACTAGAATAATTACAAAGAGTAGGGAGATAGGAGGATATGACTAAGGACAGAAACCGGGTGTAAGGGGCCTCATGGAACAACACCCATCCACCCCCAATTGCATTCATGTCCTAGTCCCCAGAACCTGTGAACGTTACCTTGTAGGCAAATGATATGATTTGATTTCGGATCTTGAAAGGAGGACTTCATTCATCCTGGATTATCAAGGTGGGCCCTAAGTGTCATTTCACCTGTCCTATAAGAGACGGGCAGAGGAAGTGTTGAGACAGATGCACAGAGACAGCCAAGCGAGATGCCACCACGAGCCGAGGAATGCCGACCCCTGCAGAAGTTTGAAGAGGCAGGAAACAGATTCTTCCACAGAACCGCCAGAGGGAACGCAGCCCCACTAGCACCTTGAGTTTGGACTTCTCATCTCCAGAACCCTGAGATATAAATTTATCTTGTTTTTAGCCACAAAGTTTGAGGAAATATGTTATAGCGGCCACAGGAAACTTCATAATACACCAACGAGCCCTTGAAGACCTTCATTTTTTTAAAAGGTCAGGCCAAGAGATGGAAAACGAGGCCCAGGAAAAGAGCTTGAATTGAGACCTTTGGGGAGTTGTTGATGACCTCAATTGACACAGATGCTTTAGACTGACAGATGAAAGTGAGTTGAGCTTGGATGTGAGGTGAAAACAGGAGACAGTGATCCCAAATTACTGCTAATTTTTAAATCAGATATAAAGAGAATAGAAGTAGGATAAAAAATGGAGGAGGGGGGCAGATTTTCCACCCTATATGCTGAAGTCAGAATGAAAAAATTGAAAAGCTGTTCAATAACCCCACAACTGGAGAAATGCAGAGTAGGATGTGAGAGTATGGGTGTGAGAAACACTTAGATTTGAACCCTGGCTCTTCCACCTGCCTGCATAAGGACTGTTTTTGCCACTTGACTCTAGCTCTGGAATCCTCTGTGCCCTCATCTGTGTATTGAGGATAATAACAGCTACTCACAGGGTTACTAAATTTTCTAAATCAAATGATGGATCCAATGTGCTTGGCATGTTTCCCACTACTTGGTGAGTCCTTGTCATTGTAAGACTTATTTTTCTTGCATTGTTGTGATCATTTTCCTTGTTAGTAGTTTTATGTCTGAATAAGAAGGCAGAGGTACTCTATAAAAATACACGTTAACTGCAAAAGACTCTGACCAAGGCACTGTACATCATAAATGACATATTTCCCCAAGTTGGTAAAGCCATCTGATAACCCAATGCAGGTAACTGACAGATTTAAATGGAGAATTTCATTATTATGTAGCCCTAGCAGTCCACTAACCATCTTCAGTAGAAATCTCGAAATCAAATGGAACATGTGTGTTCTCCTTGAGGAAACAAAGAATAAAATGCATTTTTATTTTGATGGAACTGGAAACCTCTGTTTCTTAATGAGCATACGTGCCAAAAAGGACCAATGACTTTTTGTAGAGCCAAAACTTTGCCACTCTCCAGATTTCTGTGACGGATATATGATTTCTCACTATGTAACTTTCCTAAGTTATATACATTTTTTTTAGGCAAGGTCTCACTCTGCCACCCATGCTGGAGTGCAGTGGTGCAATCACGGCTCACTGCAGCTTCCATCTCCCAGGCTCAAGCTATTCTCCCACCTCAGCCTCCTGAGTATCTGGGACTACAGGCATGCACCAACACACCAGACTAATTTTTGTATTTTTTATAGAGACGGAGTCTCCCTGTGTTTCCCAGGCTAGTCTAGAGCCCTGGGCTCAAGCGATCTGCCTGCCTTGGCCTCTCAAAGTGCTAGGATTACAGGTGTGAGCCACTATGCCAAGCATAAGTTATATATATTTTTGTCTCAGGCAGGAGAAGCCAAAAAGGAGGACTGAAATATCTAAGTAACCTGAAAGAGATTAATAAGAATAAATCAGTTTCTCTTATTGGTAATTCAACATGTAGGATACATTCAGAGGTAGATTTCAACATTAAACACATAAACACATATTAATATTTTTTTCTGAACTCCTTTGAATTTTTAGCCTGGAAAAAAGAAAACTTAGAGAAGGCATGACAAGGTGTTCAGATACCTAATGGGCTGTCACATAGGAGATGGATTGCACTTGTATGTGTAGGTCAAGGCAGCAGAACCATGAAGAATAGGAGAAAAGTTCTGTAAATGAGGACAGAAATAACTTTTTATGTTTTATGGATTTGTGGGTAGACATAGGACAGGACAGACCTCCCAATACTGGAGCACATTTTGTCTTGTAATAGCCAGATTCTTTAAGCTGCCTTAGACACCTAACTCAATTAAGCAAAAATGTTAATTTGATAATTCATAGAATTATAGGGTAATCTGTATACTTATAGAAAATCTAAGGATACATAGATTTCAATTATAGCTGGATCCAGGGGTTCAAATATGCCCAGTCTGGAGAAGAGTGACACATTTCTAGACCACACAGACAGACAAAGAAAGCTGTGGCTACCTAAGGGCTGCTGTGAAAACCATGAAGATATCCCCTAAACTACTCAGGAGAAGCTGTGTCCGACCTACAACTTAACTGAGCAAGTCATCATCTGGGATGACTGTGACAGACACAAATATCTGAGTTCTACCCTCAGGCGTTCAAATTCAGTGGCCTTGGAATCCCACCAGAGAAGCTGCACTTTTACCAACTATCCTTTCTTGTCTTATAGGACTGTTTGAGTATTGAGTAATTTATATGAGTCTACTCTTAATTGTTGTAGAAATGTTAATAATCATTCATCAAATATATAGTAAATTTGCCAAAGTTAACTGTAAGTAAATTTGCCAAAATCATGGAAATAATTAAGTGTGAAAGCCAGAAAGCTTCAAGCCAGAGTTCTTTCCACACACTGTGTTGTACTGTGTTCTTACACAGCATGTACATATGTGCATATGCAAGTGTGTGTTTGTGTGTATATGTGTGTGTGTGTATACATGCATGTGTCTGTATATAAAATAAAACAATGGTAGTCTTCAGCCATAACATATCACTAATTCCATTTAATGTAAATGGTCTAAATGCACCAGTAAAAATAAAGAGATTGACAAACAGGATTTTAAAATGATCCTAATGCATGACGTTTATACTAAACTCCCTTCAGATATAATGATATAGGCAGGTAAAAGTTAATAAGATAGAAAAAAAATCATGCAACCATTAATCAAAAAATGCAGATGTGGCTACATTAATATCAGATGCAGTAGACTTCAAAGCAAGGAAAATTACCAGAGACAGAAAGGTATGTTATGTAATGATAAAAGGATCAATCTACCGAAAAGACAGTGATCCCAAATGTCTATGCATGAAACAACAAAGCTGCAAAACATATGAACCAAAAAATGATAGAGCTAAAAGGAGAAAAAATAAATCCGCAATAATCATTGCAATCTTTAACACTCCTCTCTAAGCAACTGATGGAACAACTAGACTGAAAATTAACAAAGATACAGAAGAATTTAACAACATCAAACCACCAGATTTCACAGGGAGAAACCTAACATTTACTCAGGATTTAACTGAAAAACCTTTCTTTTGGACTTAGTCACCAGTCGAAATGGCTAAGCCAGAAGGATATGTGGCTGGAGACCAAGTTAGAAGTTTAGAATATTTGTCTTCTTCGGCCAGTCCCATTGTCCTAACTTGGGTTATGTACTTAGTCACAGATCTTCGCTGCAAACAGTAGAAGCCTACTCTGGATGATTTAAGCAGAGGGATTTATTAGAAGGCATTGGGTGAGCCAGAGAATTAGGCTCCGGGTAAGCCTGGTTCTTACTCTGTTGAATATTTACACAATCGCCATCATGTCAAAATTCCAATGCGGAAACTAGACAGCTGAGAAAACAGAAGAAGCCCCACCAGCAAGCTGCAAGTGTACTCTTTACAGCTCCACAGTTGCATCTAGAATGCAATTTTGCTAAAACTGCCCAAAAGAGAACTATCCATGGTCCCAGCATCTTGGGTCCCACACCCATATACAACTGTCCTTTGAGGGTGCATCTCATGCCCAGAACCTCAATCCAGGCCAATGCCCCTGTCTCAAGGGGTCCTGGGGAAGGAGGCCTGGCCTGGCATTTTCTGTGTCATTATTAGCAGGATCAGCTCTGCTTTTCATCAAGATGCATGAGGTGGCAAATTTACAAACATGGGAAAGCTTTAGGTACAGGCGGCAAGGTAGAGCAATACGGCAAGGTAGAGCAATAAACGCCCATCCCAGGCCTTCTTTCTTCCTTAAATCTTGAAGGTGGCCTTTCTCTAGGAGGATCTCAATTCTTCTTGAAAGTAGGCAACCTGAATCTCAATGTAGAACAGTTGCAAAAACAAGAGACCTATTTCAACTATTTCCAAAAGCCATTTGAATATGACTCAAAAATGCTTACATGAAGCAAATAAATAAACAGCATGTTGTTGGTTTGCTTTATTTCACATTCTTTACTAAGAAAATATCTATTTGATGTGGTTTGTGAACATATCCTATTCAGGAATTATGACTTAATAGATATGTTTGATAACAAAAAAGAAAGAGAAACTTTGAATTATTATTTAACATAAAGGGATTGCCTAGCAGCAAAAATGTCTGGGCTCCTATGTTAAAATATCAGGCCCACTGCAACTTATTCACTAAATAAATAAATGTATCTTTCTAATTATGGAAAATTCAAAGGCCATTAACTGTAGGACAAGGTGAAGAACCACTCCTTATCAGGGGGTTGACAGCAGGTTAATCAGTTCTGATGAGGAAGCCTGTTTAGCGTCTTGGAATTTCAGACTCAGTGTCCATTCTGCTTTCAAGTAATTACCATAGCTATAAGAGAAGTGCATGTATATTACTCTTCCTCTCCCCACCAAGGACACCAATGGCCTGAGGAGGTATCTTGACTTAATTTTACTGCAGAATTTGAAAGGAGGCACATCAAGGTCTCACCAGTTCTTTTGTAAAGATGCCTTTTTGGCTTTCCCTAAAAAAATGGGGTGGGGTGGGAGCACCCTGGCACAGGTATGCTCAAAATTCCTGGGGCATTGGTCACGTTGCCATTCCCACATTCCTCTAGTGAATATCAGGAGGAACAGTGTCTTGTCTTATGTTTTTGCCCCATGGGAAGAAAGGCATGCATGAGAGAAGGCGAGGGACATGGGGGTGAGGGAGCTGGAGGCATGGGAAGGAGAGGATGTATTTTCCTGCCCCATCAGTATATTAAGAGGCCGTTCATTCTTAACTGTAAGAACTAGAGCATGGATTTACTAATCTGCTATTTCATCACCTCAAAGTATCTTGAGGTATTTTTATTTGTTATTATTTTTTATTATACTTAAAGTTTTAGGGTACATGTGCACATTGTGCAGGTTAGTTACATATGTATACATGAGCCATGCTGGTGCGCTGCACCCACTAACTCGTCATCTAAGATTAGGTATATCTCCCGATACTATCCCTCCCCCCTCCCCCCACCCCACAACAGTCCCCAGAGTGTGATATTCCCCTTCCTGTGTCCATGTGATCTCATTGTTCAATTCCCACCTATGAGTGAGAATATGCGGTGTTTGGTTTTTTGTTCTTGCGATAGGTTACTGAGAATGATGATTTCCAATTTCATCCATGTCCTAGCATGACTTTTAACTATGTTTTTTTTCCCAAAATGAAAATATAATTCATTTTAAAGAAGATGTATACTCAAATGACTATCTGAAGGGAAAGGTGTTTGTTCCAGGACAATGGAATAATTGGATTCAGTATAACTCTTTGCTACCAAGAAGAGCTTTGTACACCAAAACATGTGGATGAACTGAGATGTACAAAGCTCTATAAGAAGGCAAGAGAAGTCAGAGAGAGGGAAATAAATAAATCACATTTGGAAAGCACCTTCCTTAGGCCACACACAGCAATTGCTTGTTTTCACCCTCACTATAACTCTAAGAAGTAAGCATTTCCAAAGCAGTAAGTGGAGAGAGGCTATGACCAGGATTGATCTATCATCTATCTAGCTGTCATGTTGGTGCAGAAGTAATTGAAGTTTTTGCCATTACTTTCTATGGCACCTATCAATATCTATGTATCTATCATCTATCTATTATCTATCTATCCATCCATCCATCTACCCATCTATCTGTCGTCTATCCATCTATTCATCTCTCTTTTCATCTATATATCATTTATGTCATCCATTATCTATCCATTCATCATCTATCCATTTATATATCTATCCATCCACCCATCTGTTCATCTATCCATCCATTCATCTATCCATCTATCCATCTATCATCTATCTACCTGTCTATCCTTCCACGTATTTGTCTATCTATCCATCCATGTATCATCTATATCTATCACTCTATCTATCTAATCTATCCATCATCTATTTATTATCTGTGTATCATCTATCTATTATCTATGTATGTATTCATCCATCCATCTATCCATCTATCTGTCATCTATCCATCCAGCCATCTCTCTATTCATCTATATATAATTTATACCATCTATTATCTATCCATCCATCATCCATCCATTTATCTATCTCTCCATCCATCCATCTATTCATCTATCCATCCATTCATCCATCTATCTATCCATCTATCATCTATCTACCTATCTGTCCATCCATCTATTTGTCTATCTATCCACCCATGTATTATCTATATCTATCTATCTATCTATCTATCTATCTATCTATCTATCTAATGTATATATTATATATGTGATGTGTGTGTATGTGTGTGTGTGTGTGTGTGTGTGTGTGTGTGTGTGTATCTGCTAAGCCCTGCACTTTACAGATTTCCACATCTAAGGGGCATTTCAAAAACTCTATAGCAAAATTTTCTAGATTTTGCAGAAGCTAAGACCAAGACCAAGACTAAGACTAAGGAAAGTATTTTCCCACTGTCCTAGAACTGAGGTGAAGCACAGCAGTTTGAGGAGGAAATATTGTAAGAGATTGCAATCAATGTATGACCTGAGTGAGGGAGGGACAGAGCATTTACAAGATGACGTGCAACTCCTATGTTTTAAAGCCTTACTAAACAATGAATAGAAAAAGAATTTAACAAAGAACCAGAAAGAATTTAACAGCATGAATTTGAATTCACATGCTTACAGGAACTTTTCCAGGTTGTAGGCTATATTAGAAAATGAATTCATTAAGAATCTCCTTTACTTGCAATATCATCAAGTCTGAGAAAAACATGTGCACATCTTTATGTTTGTCTAGGCTGACATTACACTGAATTAGCCCAAATAATAGAAATGTCTAGTGTCTTTCTTTAACAACATGGGAGAATGTGGAGCAGTTTTGAGTAGTACAAGCTGGCAGTCAGAATTTAGGCCAGAAATTTAACCTATCTCAAATTCAATTTCATCTATAAAGTTGAAATAACAATAGAATCCAGCATTGTCTTGAGTAATAAATGAGTGTTTTACACATGCCTACCATGTAGCATAGGCTCAGTAAGCGCTGACCATTGTTGCCAGTACAATTAAGCTACATTGCAGTTGTCTAACTTACCAAGGCAGATTTCATGACTCAATTAATTCTTGAAGTGTGTATGTATCCAGTTTTAGCAAAATACCTTTCTTGTGAATTCTGTATGTATGTATAACTGCTTCATTGTGGCCTCAAAAATTATAATAATTCTTTTTTGCCATCTTGTTAAGTATTGAAATATTATATAAACTGTAGTCATGTTGTTGACAATAAAACGTCTGATGCAAGTAGATCATTGGAAATGTAGCTCCACAGTGTACTCTGACATTTATTCAAAATTATTTTAATAATAAAGTATCCCTGATAATATTCAGCAAAATAAAGACCATAGAGTTCCACAGGGAAGTGTGACAATGCTGAGCTGGGTATGAGTAGAAGAGATGACTCTGCATCTAACAGTCTCCAGTACTGGTAGCCTCCTGTGTGCACGGGTAGATTTCCTGTCCTTCACTCTTCTTTGCAGTAGTCTGTGACTATGTACTAAGTCTGGCCAATAAACTGTAGTTAAAAGGGGCATTTGCTCTTGCAAGTTGGACCCCTTAATATCTCCCACCAAATCTACCTGGACCCCTGGATTTTTCTAATCTGCACTGGAACAAAACAGACTCAGCATGGAACAGTGTGGAGGAACAGTGTGAGATACCCCCAAATGACAAGATGGAGGAGAGTTTCACGGTCCAGATTGGAAAGTCTCATAATCAAAAAATAAATTTCTATTTGGTGCTGACCAGAGCTTTGCAGAAAACATTTGATCTTGGAGCACTCGTACAGAGCTACTGTGTCTCAGGCCGGTATGCAGGAGGAAGGGAATGGAGTCTGAGTTACTTCTTTCCATCTGCTGCCTCTCATTGCCCATGCAACTTTAACTTCCTTGTGCTTCTCAGTTGTGGTGTCTTACTTGTCTGGCAACCTACTGGGATACCAGAGCACCCATGGTTCTCAGGAAAGGGATGTGGCAGAGACAGGCAGGTCCACGTGTTCACACAGGTCCACGTGTTCATCAGCTTGCATCTACTAGTCCTGCTGGTCTCCTGGAAAAGTCCCATTTCCCAGTCTCTGTCACAGTTAGCTACAGCCACACTTGTCAGTGCTGGTGATCCAATGTTAATGAATATAATATAACCATGTCAGAGCTTGGAAGAGGCAAAGCCACAAGATAAGAAGAGCTGGGAATAGTATTTCTGACTGTGTAAGGTACAATTCTTCTGAAAACCTAAATCGACAAATTGAGAGGTGATGTGGGAAATGACCCCATTGTCTTAAACCAAAGAAAAGTTGACATTCTTTGTTAAAGTGGTCAACCTGCTCGAACACCCCAGCTCTGGGCAGCTCCATGCCTCTATTTACAAAGGGCATGTTCTCTCTAACGGAATTTATGGCTTTTGCCCAAACTGATGGTTTCTGTTCGGGCAGGTGCATTTAATTCCTTCCGTGTTATCTTGGTCTGCGTGTTTACCCTAGACTTCTTTCCTAAATCAAACCTTGCAGAAGAACATTGACAACAAAGACAAAGAACTTATCTCCCAAACTTCACTTTGGATAAGGACAAGGATCAGATGAAACTCACTACAAAGCAAGGCGAGTGAGCCGGCCATGTGCCGGTCCCTGCTGCTGCCTGGCATTAGGTGTAGAGGGGCAGCTCCCGTTCTTTCTCTGAAGGGCTACGTCCAAAGTTCTAGATGCTCCACCAACACACTCTACACCCACCTAGCTCACCTGGTGTCAGTTTTATTGTTATTGTTGCTCTCCTAATGTATGTTTTCTAAACACCATGCCTTCATTTTTTGCAGAGGGCAATTACCTTCTGTTCATTTGCTGTACCTCAAGGTTGTTGAACAAAATTCACTGACACAATTAATAAATATGACCTTCAGTGTTCCTCAGAGAGCATATTACCTGATAGACATGAGAGTTGAAAACAAAAATCACTGGTCAAGTGCTCTTCTTGAGACATACTAGTTTCTTGGGACACACGGCTGGGATTTCAGCCTGCGGTGGGGGTGTTGGAGGGCAGAAACAGAGGGCTCCGTGTTGGCTAAGCATCCTTCACACAGGTTTTCCATCATCTAGAGAGTGTGGCCCCACCTGGGAGTCTCAGGGGATTCTCTAGGCATGCTCAGTGTCCTCCCCTCATGCTCATGGAAGCCAGGCAGCCTCCAGGCCAACAAAGAGAACTGTGGGTAGCTTCCTTTAAAGGAAGCCTTTTGAAATGAAGGCCGTAGAAAATTGGGATTAGCTTCAAGCCTTAAAAATGTGTCTCAGCCACCATCTGGAAAGAGGTAGAGCTTTTGAAGAGACTTGGTGTCATAGACTAGAAATCAACTTGATTCTCAGAAATTCTGTAACAGTTACCAATGGAAAGATCTTGGCAGGTGCATGTTAGATTGTTTCTACTGTTCATTAAAACACACGTCGGAACTATATTGTTACAATGCCATTTGGCTTTTTCATTTTTTTCTGCTAAAATTTCTCATCTACCAAAAAAACACACAAATTTTATGTTCTATCCAAAGAGTGATAAGTCACACTCCCACAGGGTCGTGCTCTGGGGTGGACGTGTCAGATAATGAGGATAGGACCGTAACAGTGGACACAACAGGGCTTCTCAAACTGGGGTGAAGGGCCACTCCCTCTGTAGATTCCCACAGTGTGGGCAGGGGGACACAGTGACTAATTTAAATTATGATAATTAGAAATATATTTTTATATTAAAGAAAATGTGAGAATATTATAAAAGGATATACAAATTCGTAATTGAACATGATAAAATATAAGTACTCAAGAATTTTGAATCTGACAACTCTCATGCACTCTGTAGTTCCACAGAATCCTATGCTGACACTCATGCTGGTCAGGACTAAACATTCACTTACCCTGCCTGGAGGTTCTTCCATGGAAACGCTTAGGCAGCCTGGCTGTACATGTCAGAGAGAGCATGGGGAAACTCTTACCTGAGGCATACTCATTGTGTTAGACACTTCTCTTCATAATTGGCATGGGAAAATGCAAATCACAGCCATTTTGAAAACTATCCAAAACACCGTATTGCTTAAATATTGAAAGAATCTCATTACAAAAATATCAGGTGTGGGCATTTTCACAACATAAATACAAAAGGGTTCTTTCCATATATAATGTTTGGTTCAAACGAAGTGTTCTATTGGAAGCCTCTTCCTTATACATCTTCCTTTGCTATTTCTTTGCTAATAAAATCCCATGTGTACCTTCTGGGACAATTCCAACCCGTCCTCTCTGTGAAACTTTTTCCTTCTTATTTTTTTAGAGTTGGGGTGTCACTCCATTGCCCAGGCTAGAGTACAGTGGTGTGATCGTAGCTCACTGCAGCCTTGACCTCCTGGGCTCAAGAGATCCTCCTGCCTCAACTTCCTGAGGAGCTGGAACTACAGACACGAGCCACTACACCTGGCCTGTGAAACTTTTTCTTACCAACTCTATAAACACTTCCAGTCCCCACCCAAGCCTGAAGGGATAACTGTTTCCTTTGGCAGCCATGTCATATAGATAAAATCGCATATCATCTGGCCTCAGAGAGCTTGGGTTCAAGTCCCTCCCTTTTTCCTTTTCTTAAGAGCCATTTAACTGCACAATTTAATTTTGGGGGTCTTAGTGGCTTCACAGTGAAAAGGATGTAATAGATCATAGATGTGAAAATGTATCTGTAATTGGTGTGCCATGAAAATATAAGGGAGGAACTACTTCCTAAACCCCATGTCATTTATTACATAGTCTTCTGGAAGGTTGGAAGCAATTTATCAAATCACCTAGTGTTAATTCCCAACTTGGCCTCTTCTTACTATGCATATTTGGGAAAATAATCACTTAATCTTAATGAGCCTCCATTTCCCACTTGAAAAGTAAAATTTTTGTGAGCCTAATGTATCTAATTAGATAATGTACATAAAGCACTTAGAAGAAGACCTGGAACATAACAGAGGTGTAATAAATAGTGGCTGTGATTTTCCTAATTTAATGTCGCAAATAGATTTGCTGCAATAGGCTTCATCACATATTTCTTTGTATTAATAATGGTATACGTTTGCAACAAGAACTTTTATCTTCAAGTCCAGGACTACGTTCAGGTTATGTCATCATCACCTATCTGTATGTGATCCTCAGCCTCTCTAATTCCGAAATGAACATATGGGGTGTAAGGGTCACTAGATGGCCCTGCACAGCATCTAACACCCTAGGAGGAAGTAAATTCCCTGTGCTTTCGTCTTGGTGTTGTGATCATTTGGCATGTGGCATCCCAGGTGCAGCCCCCACATCCCTGAGGCAGTTTATTACCAAAAACCATGTGGAATATCAACTTCAGGACAACTAGGAGAGCATGGTGTCGATGAGCTGTTCTACTCACTGACAGTCCATTCTTGGGTTTTCCCTCTTCCCATAACTGTTTATTCCATTTCAAAGAGTCTACAGACTACAGTGGTTTCCTCTGTAACCCTTGTAACGATCTTGCAAGGTCAACATATCAGTATTTACATCTTACAAGTGAGAGAGAGAGAGGAGCATTTAAATAAATTGCCAACAGCACAAAGCTAGTGACCGGCATTTAAACCCCAATAAATCAAACCACACAAAAAAAGCTCCAGTTTATACCTTATTGCTGTACAACCTTATATTGGTAGCATTGAGAATCTTGTGTTGATCAGAAGCCTTGATTGACAGTTATATAGTTGTTGATGAATAAAACATAAGATAATAAAAGTCTTATTATTCTAAGATGCAGTTGAATAGAAAAAAATATTTCCAAGAGGAAACCTTTGGGGAAAATGAGCACAGGTCTTGCTGGTGGAAGGTTCAGAGGACTCTCATTAGATTGACATTGGCTTGTGTATGCCCACCAAATAATCAAGTGAGAATAAAAGGAATCCAAATTGGGAAAGTTTGGGGTTAAATCTGGTAGCTGAAACTTAGCATGCTGAGCATATTGTAAGGACTAGAGCACCAAATCTCCTTGCAATCCCTTTCAAGCAACTTTATATGGCTACATTGGCACAACCTCCATGGTAGGCTTATTTGGTTCTCTATCAAAAACTACTGATAAAGCCAGGAGCTATTGATGCTGGTGTGTTCTCCATTCTATGCCCTTACTCTAACTCTTCAACCGTAAATGTCAAGAGAACTCTAATTTTAAAGATTAAACTTAGAAAATATGTCAAAACAGATTTCATTATTAGGTAATGCTGCTACCATAGTCTTTTGGTCTCTTTAAAAATGTTCAGGGCAAAATAAATTAACTTTTTAATTACTGTTTTATTTCTATTCAAATAGATTTTAATAGTCTCTGCCCTCCCTGGAATTCAATCAATTGTCCAGCTCTTCAGTCTGTATTACTTTTTGGTTAAACATGGTCAGAGCAGGTCTTTCAGAGTTTTTGGAGAAGAGATTGCACTACTTCTGGACAGAACTATGTATTTGAATTATAGTTTATAACAACAATCCACATAATAAAATTTTGCTGTGTACTGTTATAATTGAGGGAGAACATACAAAACTAGACAGGAAAGAATTCATAATTCTCACACAATTATGAAAAAATCAATTGAGACAAAAGGAAGAGCATACTTTCCAATAAGTGGTGTGACATTATTTTAGTCTTATGTTTTGAAACCTTTAAGATTTGGAGAAATTCCTTTGTTGTTAATTTTGTGCCAAAAATGATGTCAAAATTCTGGCGCCCTGCCATCCCAGAGCCACCTAGTGATCACATGAGCTCTCAAGGACAAGACAAGGAGAACATGTTTCCTGGCCACCCAGCCCCAGGACAAAAATAAAGACGTTTGATGATGGTCATGCTGGGACCAGAAGCTGTGGTGCCATGTGGAAGTAGGCTGCTCACCCCAGCTTCTCTAGTATTAAACAGCCAACAGCATAAACCCCACCTGTGGCTAATTATAACTTCAGCAGTTGCATGCAGGCATGAGGTATTCATCTACTAATCTCTGCTTTAGAAAATGCTAACCAAATGTACTGTTTTTATGTCTTGGTGCCTCTTTGAAGAAAAATAACAGCAAAGATGTAAGAAGGAAAGAAGAAGAAAAAGAAAGAAGGAAGAAAGGACACAACAGCTCTATTGTATTACCAAAGAAACACAAAACTTGTCCGTTTGTCCATTGCTGCATCTGTGTGGGTGTTTATGAGTATGTGTGTTTGAGGAAAGTGAAATTCCTGTGTGACTCTGTGTTCCTAGATACTACCTAGTATTAAATAAATTCAAGAAAATCTTTTTGCTTCCACAATACCCTATTTGCCTCTCTACTGTCCTATAGTTTTACATGTATTGGCATCGTTTCTCCTTATAGTTGTCAATGTCATATTGCAATAAGAGGCAATAAGAGGAGATAGTAAGACAAAAGCGGGATATTTGGAAGTAGCATGTGGAATGCTAGCTCTTCTCTCACCAACAAGATAACCTCAGTTACATTAATTTCCCTAAGCATTGGAGAATAGAAAGATTATAGAAAAATAAACAAAACTAAGAAGTTTTTTTTTAATTGACAAACCCTTAGTAATACTACCAAAGGAAAAGAAAGACAGGACTCAAATAAAATCAGAAATAAAAGAGGAGACATTACAACAGATGCCTCAGAAACAAAAACGTGCATAAAGGACTATGATGAACAATTACATGTTAGCAAATTGGACAACCTAGAAAGAATTGATACACTTTTTGAAACAAACAACCTGCTAAGACTGAGTCAAAAAGAATTAAAAAAAAAAAAACCTGAACAGACCAATAAAAGAGAAATTGAAGTAGTAATAAAAAACCTTGTTACAAAGAAAGCCCAGGATTTGATGGCTTGCTGCTCAGTTCTACCAAACTTTCAAAGAAAAATTAATATTAATCTTTCTGAAACTTCTCCATAAAATAGAAATAGAGGGAATGCTTCCAAACTCATGTTATGAGGCTGACATCACCCTGATACAAAAGCCACACAAAGATGCCAGAATAAAAGAAAACTACAGGCTAATATCTCTAATGAACATAAATGAAAAAATTCTTAATAAAATGCTTGCAAAGTAAATTCAACAACACATGGTATAGATTATACACTATGACCAAGTGAGATTTATTCGTGGGATTCAAGATTGGCCTGACATACCCAATCAATCAGTATGATACACCGCATTCAAAGAATGAAATATAAGGATCACATGACCATAATACATGCAAAATAAAATTATTTGACAAAGTTCAACACCATTGATAATAAAAACATAGAAGAAAACTTTCTCCACACAATAAGGGCCATTTATGAAAGTCCCACAACTAACATTATAATCAATAGGGAACAACTGAAAGCTTTTTACTCTAAGATCTGGTACAAGACATGAATAGCCACTCTTGCTACTTCTTTTCAACATAGCACTGAAAGTAGTAGCCAGATAAATTAGGCAAGAAAAGAAATAAAAGTCATATTAAAAAAGCAAAATTATTTGTTTACAGATGATACAATCTTATATGTAAAATACCCTAAAGGCACTACAAAAAACTTACAACTAATAAACAAATTCAGTAAAGTTGCAGGATTAAAAAAAATCAACATACAAAAGTCAGTTGAATTTTGTGCACTAACAATAAACTACAATCAATCCTCAATATTGTCAATAGGTTACCAGAAACTGCAACTTTAAGCAAAATGATTCATGGTTAATCACATTTGTGGTTACCAGTGTTATACTTAATTGATGTTGAAGGAATCAGTGTTATTTAAGAACCTACTGTATATATTTTTGCTTAAAGTTATAGTTTCCAAAAACCTATCAACGGTGTTAAGTGGTCAGGATTTATTGTATCTGAAGAAATCAAGAAAATAATTCCATTTTTAATAGTATCAACAAGAATAAAATATTTAGGTATAAATTTAATCAAGGGGGCAAAAAATCTCAACCCTGAAAACTATCAAGCATTGATGAAAACAATTGAAGAAGACACAAATAAGTGGAGAGATATTCATAGTTATGGATTGGAAAAATTAATATGATCAAAATGTCCATACTACCCATAATGTACAGTTTCAACACAATCCCTATCAAAATTCCAATGGCATTGTTTACAAAAATAGAAAAAGCAATTCTACGATTTTTATGGAAACACAGAAGACCTCAAATAGCTGAAACAATGTTGAGAAAGAACAAAGTTGGTGACATTTTACTTCCTGATTTCGAATTATAAAACTGTAATCATCCTCTCCACATATGTAAAACCATGGTAGTGTTGTCTTCTTTGTCACAAACATCAAACAAGTTAGGAAACTAAAGCAGACGGGAAAAAATGTAGTTATTCCTATTTTTTACTCTTTTTGTTGTTTTCCTTTCTTTTTTAGGGTTCTGAAATGATTTCATTTATAAATGCATCTACATTTACAAAGCTTCCATTAGCTAAGAGCGAATACCTCTCAGTATTCTTCATCTGAAATGTCTTTATTTCTCCTATTTAACTGAAGAATATCTTTGCCAAATATAGAATTCTGTCCTGACCATCTTTAATTTCAGCACTTGAAAAATAGTGTGCCTTTTCCTTCCAGCCTCCATAGTTCCTGATAAGAAATCTGCTGCCATTCACACTGATTTCTCCCTATAGGTAATACGTCATTTCTCTCTCACCTAATTCAATATCTTTTTATCCATCTCTGTTTTCAGGAGTTTGATAATAATTTGTCTTGGCGTGGATTTCTCTTTGAGGTTCACTCAGCATCTTGCTTGCATTTATGAGTTTGCATCTTTAGTCAAATTTAAGGAAATTTTCAGCCATTATTTCTTCAAATATATTTTCAACCTCACCATTTCTCCTCATCTCTGATAACATAAATATTATCTCTTCTGTTTACTTTTTAATTTTTTTCTTAGTTTATATTCCTTTTGTTGATTAGATTGGGTGATTTCTCTTGTTCTATCTTCAAGTTTGCCAATTCTTTTCTTGAACCATTCTGCTGGTTAGCCCACACACTGAAATATTTTTTACTATTATTATTGCATTTTTACTTTTAAAATTTTCATTTTTTATATCTACTATTTCCTTGTTGAGATTTTCTAATTTTAAGTTTCTTCCAGACATGTTCATAATTACTCTTTGAAACAATTTTATTATGGTGGCTTTAAAATATTCACCAGACAATCCTAATTTCCCTGCCATCTCTATGTTGACATTTATTATTTTTCCTGTTTCATTAGATTTAAAATATTCTAGGTCCTGGTGTGATGAATTTTGTAAAATTGTTATCAAAATCTAGACATTTTGGATATATATAATGAGACTCTGGGTCTTGTTTAAAATTTTTCTTTTAGCTGGCTTACTCTGAGACCACTCTGGCCCAGAAGTAGGGAAAGGAACAATGGGATCATTATTGCCACTTGAGAGCCACACTCTGCCCCCATCAACACCCAAGGGGTGATGGGCTCATCATTACTACTGGGTTCAGATGGAAGTCATGGCTCCTCAGTGTACATTTGCTGATGCCTCCATGGCTACGAAGGCTAGGACTGCCCTGTTACTGCTTCACAACTGGCCTTTGCTTATGTGAGTGGGAAGGGTATGACCTCATTAAGCTGGTGACTCACCACTAGGCTTCCGATGACACCAGCCCAATAGTTGGGGAGGGGGACCTCACTGCTGATGACTGGGCACGGAAATCTTCACTGACGCCATGATGAAGGAGGAGGACTTAGTTACATACTGGTGGCTGAAAATCCCCACTCCCTATTTGGCTTTTTCTGACACTATCCTGGAGGCAGTGACTGGGGCTCACAGTTAGACCCTGGTGAATACAGAAGCCTAGGCTCCCCACTCAGCTTTTGCTGGTATGGCTGTATGTGTGGTCACAGCATTTCTGGTGTTTGCTAAAGTAGAACACTTATTGTTTAAAAGTTTTCCATGTTGCCATGTTGTCCTTGTTTTTTCCTTTGGCTTGAGGATGAGTTTTTGTTGCAGCATTTTCTATCTGTGCTTTGTGTTTCTAGCCTGCCGGCTTTTTCAACTCTAAATGTAGGACATATGAGACAAAAACAAAATAAAATAAATTAAAAAAAAAAAACAGGGACCTCGCAACTGTGTCGTTTCTTGGGTCCTGAGGTCTCTATCTGGTATCCATTCTTTTCTCCACATTTCAGTTTTCTTATGTTTGTTTTATATACAATGTCCACAGAGTTTAGTTCTACCAAGCAGGGGGAATAGGGAAAATAAATATGTCTATGCTCATCTTCAGAGAAGCCGAATCCCCTTTTATGTTTTTGCCCAAAAATGAAACAAATATAGTTTCAAAAAATAGAAAATGACAAATTATCCCTATTAGTTATTTAATGACATCCTATTATTAAATTTACTAGCAGAAGAAAAATATTTAATTGCTACAATTGGTTATTAAATCCAGAGGTTTTATGAAGTAACATACCTTAGAGATAAATTGGATAATGCTGCCAAAATTTCATGAGAAAATGTTATTTTGTTAATATATTGTTGTAAAATATTAAAAATTATTAATGGAAAGGCACAGTAATATCCCATAGTTCTTAATAGTACATGATCACAGTGTATACCAAGTGTGTTTTTAAATGATTCAAAAGCCTTTGTGTGCTTCCCTTGGAAAACTAAACAAACATATAACCTGTCTGAGATCAAGAGAAAGCAATGATACACCACAGAAATCCACACAATTGTATAAGTCGGGATCAATGCTGATTGACTGGGGTTCCTTGTTTGTCTTTATTCACTTGTTTGTTCATCATTGAAAGAAATTTAAAATATTTTGCACAAAGAGACCAAAGGTAAATGTTCATAAAATACAATGATTAGCCACACTTCTACTTACCAACCATTGTATGCCCAAGTAAACTTGTTATGATGAAAACGTTATTGAAAACATAACTAATAATTCTGATACATATCATTGCTACTTGATGTTCATCTAAGTGAAGAATAAATTTTAAAATATTTTAAAATAGGAAAATGCAATATTAACTCTTGCTGGATGTGATATATGGGCAAGTCTTTCCATTTGCTTTTGTTCTCCATCGTCTTATTAAAAAAAACTATAAATTTTTCTTTACACATGACTCCTAAGACCTGCCATTGGGTGTAAAATAGCATAGGAGTTCAAGAAAGCAATATAGCAGTGTATTCCTCCTTGCACAGAAAATTGGTTTTCTAGGAATGGAGTCTAAGAAAATATTCAGAAGTACATGATGGGATTTATATACATTGAACTATTCATTAAGGTGTTGATCTATGTAACAGCAGAATAAATCAAAACTCTCTTTTTAGGTAGGGTTGCAGCCTCTAGAATAGGGAACAAAATAGTACGTGCCATGTATGCCCCATTCTGACAGTGAGTTTGTTCAGCTCTCAGTCAGGCAAACTGACTCTTAATTTGGGCTAGTTCTTTTGTAAATATGCTACCTCAGAAAAGGTCTCCTCTTCCTTCAAACACCTAAGATGCATGTGACTGTTTGTTTATTGTTTGTGTGCATCTCAGACCATGAGCTCTGCAGCAGCAGTATACTTGGTTAAACGTTGTGTATTTATTGTCTGCAATTTTCACTACTTTACGTGATTAGTATATTTTACCATTTTTACTGTTAAAGTAACTACACTTATAACTGGCTCATAAGATGTACAGCTGGGTCCAGCTAATTTCAAAATATATGGTGTGAAATACAGATCTGTTTTATCTCCTTTCCAAATGGCTACACAATTTGGGACATCAATTTCTCCATTATCTTTTTCTTAGTGTTTTTCTAGCTTTCTTTTTAACCTAGGGCTCATCCTTCCAGCTGTACCCAGCCTGAATGAGGACATCGTGTCGTTTATTCCAATAGTTTTCTAGGCTTTACCTCCAACAGCATTATAAAAGGAGAACGTATCTCCAGAGAAGGAGGGCATCATTTCCTCCTGTCAATGCTAACTGCCAGGCTGTGTCTGTAGACCTGAATATGTGGAGGTATGGCCAGATATATTTTTTCTTTTATTTTTTATTACAGAAGATAATTTTCCTCTTTCTGCTGAATCTTTTAATCAATCTGCTGTAGGTTTCTATGCTCCAGTAGCAATAAGTGTGTAGTTAGAACATGTTAGTTGACATTATTGAGTGGTTATTGTATGACACAAAGTCTGAAGTACTTTTTATGAAGATTAAATAGTACAAAAACCATAGATGACAGTTACTGTTTCCATTTTACAGATGAGAAAACTGTGGTATAAGTAAGATAAGCAATACATCCAAGGTCACACAGCCAAACTAGAACTAGGATAGGTCCAATCCCAGTATCCACAACACTAACCGCTACCATCTTGTACCTCTCATGAATAATAAGACGTATCAGATCTTTCTGCCGCAGGATTGAGGCAAGTGCCTATGACTCAACGGGGGAAGTCACAGAGAATAAGATCAAACTGGGTGGTAGGGAATGCACAAAATGCAAACATTCAGCTTTAGGAGGCAATATCCATTTGTCCCCAGCATCCAGCCCAAGCCCTGAAGTGGAAGTGCACCCAGGAAACAGTTGTCAAATAATGAGTTCAGCCTAGTCCCATCAGGCAGAGTTCGGTTTCATCCCTCCAGTCTAGTTTCTTGATGCTTCTGCTGCTGTGTACTCCCCAGGCTGCATGGGAAATTCTGTGTCCAGGTCCCAGAGGTCTGTGAATTAGTCCTGCACCTGCATGAACAATCTATATTTTCCTTATCCGTGTCGTATTTGGCAGCACACATAGGAACAGGCCTTCAGATAGCAGCTCATAGCATTGTCATGTCAGACTGAAGATGCTTCTGGGGTCTTTTCTCTGAACACAACTCCTTTTGAGCAGCAACGACAGAAGCTCCATACCCTAAATCATAAAGGAAGCTCCAGGGAGTAGGAACAAAAATAATGCTTTAATACAAGCATCCTTTGCAAGAGCTTGCAGCTTGGGTATTCTCAGAACAGCAGGGGAAAGAATATATGAATATAAAGGAGTGCTACTGCAGCCTTCGGAAAGTGTAGCTCTAAGAGTTAATGAGCTGGTGTCTGACTGCCAGGGGACCAGTGTGTTAATCACCCACAGAGCCCACCCCTACCCAAAGTCCTCATGAAGTCACTGATGCTACGGTTCAAGACAGGTGCCCAGCTTCACAGTCACCTTCTCAGTGTTGTCAGCCTTGTTCATGAAAAAAATCTCCCTACTTCCAAAACCAGGACAGCTTGAAAGGCTCCTTTGTTCCTACGGGCTGCCTTTCTGGGACAAAGTAGCTGGCTGGCCCTTTGGTATTCTCGATGGTGGCCCAGGCTTTCAAGCTTTTGCACGCCTAGGGAGAAATGTGGTGCGCTGCTGGGTGCTGGAGCAAATCACCTCATGAATATCTTTATACCAGGGCTTGTTTATGCCTGTTAGGTTCCTGCAGCTCAGCAGGATCTCTACTGCTCCTAGAAGTGGTGGATTAAAAATTCTGCTGAGTGAAAACACAGGCTGCAACTCCAGGTCCCAAGATACTCTCCAATGATATGATTCTTCTCCCTCTCATCAAATCGAATTGGCAAATGGAGGCCAAGTACAGAATAACAGAGAATGGGGACAGGTCTTCCAATGGATCTATTTTCCCTAAGTGTTTAATCAACTCAGGCTTCCCAATCTGGGTCAGTGCAAATCTATTGTAGGGCTGTAATCAAACTTGCATATTTCATCATAGGCTATAATCAAAAGTGGGTATTTCAGCTTCCTTTTGAACAAAGCTATAGTGATTTTGCCTCTTCATGAGATAGGGAGGGGATATGTTATTGCCCAAGTCTAGCCCATTCATTCACAAATGCATTCAATCAAAAAAAAAACGTATTGAGCGACTACTGTGTTCCAGACACTGTTGCAGGATTTAGGGATATATCACTGAACCAGACAATCAAAGCAGTGCCCGACCTCCTGGAAATTGTACTCTGACAGTGGGAGGCAAGGGGGAGACGGACAATGAGTAAGATACATAATATTTAAAAGTCGATTATATGGTATAGTTAAAAAAAAAAAAAGTAGTAAGTGTGGTGTTTTTGAAAAGACAGTAAGGGGCTCACACTTGTCACTTGCAATCCCAGCACTTTGGGAAGCCAAGGTAGGCAGATTTCTTGAGGCCAGGAGCTTGAGACCTGCCTGGCCAACATGGCAAAACCCCATTGTATTATTCCATTCTCATGCTGCTAATAGACACACCTGAGAGTGGGTAATTTATAAAAGAAAGAGGTTTAATTGACTCACAGTTCAGCATGGCTGGAGAGGCCTCAGGAAACTTACAATCATGGCAGAAGGGAAAATACATTTAACATTTCACCATTAAGTATAACGTTAGCTTTAGATTTGTGGTAGATGTCTTTTATCAGGTGGAGGAAATTCCTAGTCGACTGAAAGGTTTTATCATGAATAGTAGTAGAGTTATTTTCACACCATATTCTGTACTTATTAAAATGATAATATTTTGACTTTCTCAAATGAAGTAGCAAATTACAATTATTGATTTTTGAATGTTTTACCTTCTTGCATTTGTGGAATAAACTCAACTTATCTGTTTGCTAATATTTAATTAAGGATTTTTTATATATGTTTTCAGTAGATGTTGGTCATTAAATGTCTTCTCTTGAAAAGTCATTTTCAAAATGCTTGTGTCAGATTTACACTGGCTTCATAAAATGAACTGGAGTGAGATTTCTCTTCCGCTTTATTTCCTGAAAGACACTGTGTAAGACTGGAATTATTTCTACTTTAAATTGTTTCTTAATTTTTATGAGTACATAGTAGGTGTATATATTTATGGGGTTCCTGAAATATTTTGATACAGGCATATAATGCATAAATCACACCAGGGTAAATGAGGTATCCGTTCCCTCAAAAATTATTATTTATTTATGTTACAAACACTCCAAATATACTCTTTCAGTTACTTTTAAATGTACAATAAATTATTGTTGACTGATTTAATCAGATTATTAGATTTTTCCCTTATCGATTTAAGTTTTTATATATTCTGATTATTAATTCCTTGCCAGACGGATAGTTTCCAAATTCTTTCTCCCATTTTGTGGGTTGTCTCTTCACTTTTTTTGATAGTTTCCTTTACAGTGCAGAAACTTTTTAACTTGATGTGATCCCCTTTGTCCATTTTTGCTTTGGTGGTGCTGAGGGGTATTACTCAAGAAATCTTTACCCAGAACAATGTCCTGGAGAGATTCTCCAATGTTTTCAGTAGTCTTATAGTCTTAGAGTTAAGTCTTTAATTCATTTTGATTTGATTTTTGTACGTGGCAAGAGAAATGAGTCTAGTTTCATTGTTCTGCATATGAATATCCAGTTTTCCTAACACCATTTATTAAAGAGAACTTCCTTTCCCCAAATTATGTTCTTGAAATCTTTGTCAAAAACGAGTTCACTGTGGATGTATGAATTTACTTCTGGATTCTCCATTCAGTTCCATTGGTCTATATGTCTATTTTATGCAGTATTATGCTGTTTTGATTACACATAACTCTGTAGCATAATTTGAAGTCAAGGATTGTGATTTCTCTAGTTTTTTTTTTTTTCTTTTTGTTTGGGATAGGTTTGGCTTTTATGGGTCTTTTTTTTTTGTGGTTCCATGTAAAATTTTGAATTTTTTCTTATTCTTATGAAGAATTTCATTGATGTTTTGATAGACGTTGTGTTGAATCTGTAGAATGCATTGAATAGTATAGACATTTTAACAATTTTGTTTCTTTCAATCAAAGAGCATGAAATTCTATCCATTTTGTTGTATCCTGTTCAATTTCTTGCATCAATATTTTTTACTTTTCATCATAGAGATCTTTCACTTCTAAGTTTATTCCTAGGTATCTTATTTTATTTGTAGCTTCTATAAATGAGATTACTTTCTTGATTTCTTTTTCAGATTGTTTGCTGTTGGCATCTAGAAATGCTGCTGATGTTTGTATATTCATTATCCTGCAACTTTACTGAATTTATCGATTTTAACAGTTTTTTGGTGGAGTCTTTATGTTTTTTTTTCAAATGTAAGATCATAACATTTCAACTTACATTTGAAAAAAAATAAAATAAAAACTCCACCAAAAAGAGAATTTGACTTCTTCTTTTTCAATGTGAATACCATTTATTTCTTTCTCTTCTCTGATTGCTTTATCTAGGACTTCCAGTACTACACTGAATAACAGTGGTGAAAGTGGGCATTCTTTTTCAATGTGGATACCATTTATTTCTTTCTCTTCTCTGATTGCTTTAGCTAGGACTTCCAGTCCTACACCAAATAACAGTGGTGAAAGTGGGCATCCTTGTCCTGTTGCAGAGCTTAGAGAAAATGATTTTAGGTCCTCCTCTTTCATTATGATACCAGCTGTGGTTTGTCATATATGGCTTTTATTGTGCTGAGGTATGCTCCTTCTATGCCCAGTTTTTTGAGGATTTTTATCATGAAGTGATGTTAAGTTTATCAAGTGCTTTTTCAGCATCAATTGAAATGATCATATGTTTTTATTCCTTTATTCTGTTTATATGATGTATCACATTGATTGATATGCATATGTTAAACCAACCCTGCATCCCTGGGATAAATCCCACTTGGTCATGGTGCATAATCTTCTTAATGTGTTGTTGAATTCAATGTTTTAGTATTTTGTTTAGGATTTTTGCGTCAGTGTTCATCAGGGCTATTGAGCTGTAGTTTTCTATTTTTATTGTGTCCTTCTCTGGTTTTAGTATCAGGGTAATACTAGCCTTGACCGGGAGTGGTGGCTCACACCTGTAATCCCAGCACTTTGCGGGGACGAGGCGGGTGGATCTCCTGAGGTCAGGAGTTCGAGACCAGCCTGACCAACATGGAGAAACCCCATCTCTACTAAAAATACAAAATTAGCCAGGTGTGGTGGTACATGCCTGTAATCCCAGCCACTCAGTTGGCTGAGTCAGGAGAATGGCTTGAACCCAGGAGGCAGAGGTTGTGGTGAGCCGAGATTGTGCCATTACACTCCAGCCTGTGCAACAAGAGTGAAACGCTGTCCCAAAAAAAAAGGAAAAAAAAAATCTAGCCTTCTAGAATGAGTTTAGAAGTACTGTCTCCAATTCTATTTTTCATACTAGTTTGAGTAGGATTGGTATTAGTCCTTCTTCATATCTTTGGAAAAATTCAAAAATGAAGTCATTGGTTTCCAGGCTTTTCATTCCTAGAAAACTCTTGATTTTTTAACGTTTTACCTTCTTTATTACTCTTTATTACAGCTTTGTTAATCTCATTAATTGTTATTTGTCTGTTCAAGTTCTGGATTTCTTCACATATTAATCTTGGTAGGTTGTATGTGTCTAGGAATGTATCCATTTCTTCTAGATTTTACAATTTTTTTTTTTTTTTTAGACGGAGCCTCGCTCTGACGCCAGGCTGGAGTGTAGTGGGTGATCTCGGCTCACTGAAACCTCCACCTCCTGGGTTCAAATGATTCTCCTGCCTCAGCCTCCCTAGTAACTGTAGATTTTACAATTTATTGGCATATAGTTGCCAATACTAGCTTCCAAGGGATCCTTTGAATTTTTGCAATATCAGTTGTAATGTCACCGTTTACATCTCTGATTTTATCTATTTTGGTCTTCTCTCTGAGTTTCTTGGTCTGGCTAAAAGTTTGCTAATTTTGTTTATCTTTCAAAAAATATTTTTCATTTTGTTGATATTTTGTATATTTTTAGTTTCAATTTCATTTATTTATATTCTGATTATTAATATTTCTTTTCTTCTAATTTTAGGTTTGGTTTGCTCTTGGTTTTCTTTTTTTTTTTCCTTTTTTTATTATACTTGAAGTTCTGGGGTACATGTGCAGAACATGCAGGTTTGTTACATAGGTATACACATGCCATGGTGGTTTGCTGCACCCATTAACCCGTCATCTACATTGGGTATTTCTCCTAATGCTATCCCTCCCCTAGCCCCCCACCCTCCAACAGGCCCCAGTGTGTGATGTTCTGCTCCCTGTGTCCATGTGTTCTCATTGTTCAGCTCCCACTTATGAGTGAGAACATGCGATGTTTGGTTTTCTGTTCTTCTGTTAGTTTGCTGAGAATGATGGTTTCCAGCTTCATCCAAGTCCCTACAAAGGACATCAACTCATCCTTTTTTTATGGCTGCATAGTGTTGCATGGTGTATATGTGCCACATTTTCTTTATCCTGTCTATCACTGATGCGCATTTGGGTTGGTTCCAAGTCTTTGCTATTGTGAACAGTGCTGCAATAAACATACGTGTGCATGTGTCTTTATAGTAGAAAGATTTATAATCCTTTGGGTATATACCCAGTAACGGGATTCCTGGGTCAAATGGTATTTCTGGTTCTAGATCCTTCAGGAATTGCCACACTGTCTTCCACAATGGTTGAACTAATTTACACTCCCACCAACAGTGTAAGAGCATCCCTATTTCTCCACACCTTCTCCAGCATCTGTTGTTTCCTGACTTTTTAATGATCACCATTCTAACTGGCATGAGATGGTATCTCATTGTGGTTTTGATTTGCTTTTCTCTAATGACCAGCAATGACGAGCTTTTTTCTGCATGTTTGTTGTCCTCATAAATGTCTTCTTTGAGAAGTGTCTGTTCGTATCCTTTGCCTGCTTTTTAATGGGGTTGTTTGTTTTTTTCTCGTAAATTTGTTTAAGTTCTTTGTAGATTTTGGATATTAGCCCTTTGTCAGATGGATAGATTGCAAAAATTTTCTCCCATTCTGAAGGTTGCCTGTTGACTCTGATGATACTTTCTTTTGCTGTGCAGAAGCTCTTTAGTTTAATTAGATCCCATTTGTCAATTATGGCTTTTGTTGCCCTTGTTTTTGGTATTTTAATCATGAAGTCTTTGCCTAAACTTATGTCCTGAGTGGTATTGCCTAGGTTTTCTTCTAGAGTTTTTTTTTTATGGTTTTAGGTCTTACGTTTAAGTCTTTAATCCACCTTGAGTTAATTTTTGTATAAGATGTAAGGAGTGGGTCCAGTTTCAGTTCTCTGCACATGGCTAGCCAGTTTTCCCAACATCATTCATTCTGTATGTACTTTAATGTTGATATCCTTCTGTAGATTTGAAATGTTCTCTATTATTATCTTTTTGAATAGACTTTCTACCCCCATCTCTCTTTCTGTACCTTCTCTTCAAAGCCAATTTTAGATTTTTCCTTTTGAGGCTATTTTCTAGATTTTGGAGGTGTGCTTTATTCTTTTTTTATTATTTTATTTTCTGTTGTCTTCTGTTGAAAGACTCTGATGCATTCTTTAGTATATCAAATAAATTTTTTAGCTCTAGAATTTTTTAAACTGATTTTTTAAAACTATTTCTGTTTGTTAAATTTATCTGATAGGATTCTGAATTCCTTCTCTGTGTCACTTTGAGTTTTGTTGAGCTTCCTCAAAGCAGCTATTTTAAATTCTGTCTGAAAGATAACATGTCTCCATCACTCTGGGACTGGTCGTTGCTGCCTTATTTAGTTTGTTTAGTGAGTTATGTTTTCTTAGATGGTCTTGATGCTTGTGGATGTTTGTTGATGTCTGCACATTGAAAAGTTAGGTATTTATTTTAGTCTTTGCAGTCTGGGTTTGTTTGTACCCATCTTTCTTGGAAAGGCTTCCAAAGTACTCAAGGGGAATTTAGTGTTTTGATCTAAATATTTGGTCACTGCAGCTGTATCTGCATTAGAGGACACCCCAAGCCCAGTAATGCTATGACTCTTGTAGACTTGTAGATATACTTCCTTGGTGGTCTTGGGTAAGACCCAGGAGAATTCCCTGGATTACCAGGAAAACTCTTGTTCTGTTCTCTTACTTTCTCCCAAGAAAACATATAGTCTCTCTCTGTCCATGCTGAGCTGCCTGGAGCTTGGGGAGGTGTGACATAGCACCCCTGTAACCACCAACACTGGGACTACATTGGGCCACATCTGAAGCCAACATAGCAGTAGGTTTTGCCTAAGGCCTGCAGTGAGTACGGTCTTGGTACTGTCAATTTTCACTCAAGGCCCAAAGGCTCTTCAGTTAGGAGGTGCCAAATTCAGTTTGCCTTATGTCCTTCCCTTCAGGATGGCGAGTTACTGTCCCATTCCAGGGTTGGTCCAGAAATGTCATCTAGGAGCCCAGGTCTAGAGTCAGGAACCTTAGGAATTCACTTGGTGCTTTACTTTACTGTGGCTGAGCTGGCACCCAAGCTGCAAGACAAAATTCTCCCCCCTCTTTCATCTCCTCTTCTCATGCAGAAGCTGTCTCTCCCCATGGCCACTCCCGCTACAGGCCTATAGTAAGTGCCGTCTGGCTACTGCTAATGTTCACCCAAGGACCGAGGGTTCTTCATTCAGCTTATTGTGAAAGCTACCAGGCTTGGATTTCTTCCTTCAAGGCAGTGGGGTTCCTTCTGGACCACGGTTGTTCCAGAAATCTCATCCAGAAGCCAAGACTTGGAATTGGGGACCCCAGGAGCCCACTTAGTACTCTCTCCACAATGGCCCAACCGCACACTATCTACAAGACAAAGTCCTCTTTGCTTTCCTCTCCTTTCCTAGAGCAGAAGTCTCTCCCCATAGTCACCACAGCAGGGGATGTTCTGAGTCACACGTGGAGCCAGCATGTCTCTGAGTCTCACTTAAGGCCCATGGTGAGTACTGCCTTGGTATTGCTGCTAATTATTCAGGGTCCAAGGGCTCTTTAGTAAGCAGGTGATGGATTCTGCCAGGACTGGGTCCTTCCTTTCCAGGTAGCAGATTCCCTTCTGGCCCAGGCTGTGTCTATAAATGTTAGCCAGGGGCCAAGGCCTGGAATAGGATCCTCAGGACTCTGCCTGGTGCCTTATTCTACTGTTACTGAGCTGGGTATCCATGTTGCAAGACAAAGTCCTCTTTACTTTCCCTTCTCCTCTCCTCAAGTGAAAGGAAGGAATCTCTCTTAGATCTGTAGGCGGCACTTACTCGGGTTGGGGAGGGATGATGCAGGCACTCCTTTTGCCAGCCCAGTTGGTGTCTCAGTAGGTCATGTGCTCCTCAAGTACACTGGCTCTGAGCCCTGCACAGCAGTAAGACTTATCCAGGAATTGTAGGTTTTGTGGCCTATACTGCCTTTCAAGTTTATTTAAGACCCCAGAGTGCTTTAGCCCATGGGGGTGGGGCTAGCTGGAACTCAGGTTCTGGTCACTGGCATTGACAATTCCCCTCTGGCCAGAGCTTGTCTAAATGCTCCCACTGTGAGCACTGGTCGAATTCTGACCTATGTTGCTTTCCACTGTGATAGAGCAGCACTGAGTTCCAATGCAAAGTCCCACACTCACAGCACTCTCCGTCTCCCAAGTTCACAGACTTTCTTTGCACCACAAGGCTGCTGTCGAGGAAATGTGTGAAGGGTGGTGTTGGCAATTCAGGACTGTCTTTCCTGTCTTCTTCAGAGCTTCTTCTTTCCTTGCTATGATGTTAAAACCAGGTACTGTAATAGCTCACCTGCTTCTTGGTTTTTATGAAGTTGCTTTATTGAGTGGACAGTTGTTCGATTTGCTATTCCTGGGGTATGGTGGGGGGTAGAAATTGCTGGAGGGTTCTATTCAGCCATCTTGCTCTGCCTCCCTCTACTTTAAATTATTGGTAGAATCTATCATAATGGAGAGTTCTGCTTTTTCCTAATACATGTTTGATAGTTTAATAGTTAAGGAAACATTTGGATTTTATTTCTTCACGTGCCAGTTTTGGTAAATTGTTTTTTTTTAATATATTAAATCATTTGGCATAGGTTGTTAAATTTATTAATATAAAGTTATTTGTGATGCAATATAATTTTTTTAAGTTTCTATAGACTATGTTATAATATTTTCTTGTTTGCTCCAAATACTTGGTATATTGTGTTTTCTCTTGTTTTTCTTCATAATTTTTGTTTGATGAGTTTTCATGAAACAAACTTCTGGGTATGATCTAAATATAGATCAAATTTAGATCTAAATTTAGATCTAAAAATTAACAAATTTGATCTATTTTTATTCCTGTACTGTTTTCACTTTTGTTGATCTTTGTTCCCATATTTATTTTCCTCCTTCCACTGCTTTTCAGTTTGAGTTGCTCTTATTCTTCCACCATTTTTAGATGAAAACATGTCATTAATTTGAAAACTATTTTTTTCTAATGTAAACATGTAAGTCTATAAATTCCCACGTGAGCACTTCTTAAGCTTCATCCCACAAATGTTGATATGTTGTATAAGAACTGTACTCAAAGCAAGTGGTCTCAAATTCTCCACCTATTATGTGTTTATGGCAATGTCTCCAAATGAAATGCAGCCCCCTTCTGGAAGGAGATCTGTCTTCTTCATTACCCTTCTCATCACCTAAGAATTTATGGCTGCTTTTAACTCATCAGAGGACTCAATGGTCCAAAAGAGGTGTGAGTCAAATAGATTGAGGTGGGCAGGGGCTTGGTCCTGGGAATCGGGGCACGATGGGGATTTGCATGGGAAATCTGCAGAGTGGTTGGAGCCAGGGGACCATGATATGTATCCAAGGGGTAATATTGAGGCAAAAATGGGAGAAGCAAAATCTCATATCAGGTCCAAGTCATGAGCACATATGCAGGAAAATAAGATGAAATTAGAAAATGGATACACCTAGAAAGAGAAAAAGAGTTTTAGAAGAAAAAGTGGAGAGAGGGCAAGGATTTTCAGCAGACAGGATCAAAAACGTCAAATTTCCCTTTTTTGGATGCCAGATGTATGCATGCAGATGAGTACATATGGTTTAAACGGAAAGCGTGCCCAGCTCCTGAGATATTCTCCCCATCTTCATATTCCTTGCCTCCTTTCATCATAAGTTCCTGGTATCATGCCTAAAAGGTTTGAAATTTTTTAAGATTTTAAATAAACTAGTAAGCACTTAATTGAAAAGTCATTTACCCCAAAATATTATTACATTTATATTTATTAAAAACAAAATATTGTGCTTTATTGTCACTTAAAATTCCAACATAGACCATAGAATTACAAAATTATTATATTACATATCTTTGTAAGTTGTTTAGCATAAATTCTAGTGTTTTTGTGCTCTAAACAAGGAGACTGAGGTCTACGTAGATCAAATAGTTTCTCTAAAGTTCTAATTGCTGTGACTCTCCTGCGGTTAGGGAGAGTTTTCTACTTTGGCTGTATCTAGCAATACTCTCAGTGATGTAACTTAGTGTAATATTTTTTAAGAATAAACTTCAATAATACAACTTCTTTGATATGAGAAACATTTAAATGCTTCTTATCAATCCATGAATCAAAGCTCTTATGACATTTTGAGGTTATCTCTGTTAACATGTACCCAGTACTCCTGGAATATTATAGATGCTTAGTAAATTTTTTTTTTTGCAAAAAAAAGCATCAATTCTTCCATGCTCAGATATAATTATGTTATAAATATTAGATATAGAAAAGATTTCATTCATATTTATACAATTAGAGAATGCATGCTTGTTTGTTTCTAAATGACTTTATATGTCAAAAAAAAAAAAAACCCTGTGATGAAACAAGGAGGTAGAGGTGACAAAAATGGGTTTCTCTTCTGTAATTATTTTGAGTTTTATTCAGCTAATTCAAAGGCTAGTTCATTCTAGAAAAATAAAATTGATACAAACTCATCAGAGTCTACTTGTGCCAATTTTTTTTTAACTACCACGTAGGCTTGTTGGTAAAAAGTAGAATTGACTAAACTTGAAAAGCCATTGATGAAAACAGGCACTTAAATTCCCCGTGATGACATGTTTTTTTTTCTCTTTAAAAAACTTGGTTTTCACTACATAAAATAAATGGTCATACCACAAAGCAAACGCAGCTATCACAAACCTACGTCAATGACATTGACTCTATTTCCTTGCACATTTTTCCCATTTTCACAGCTGTGAAATCCGGAGGCCCCTTATAGTGCATGCCAATTTACAATTATGTTCCACAGTCATTGATTTGGCCTTACTAATTTATAAAACTGTAGCATTTCTAAAGAAATACTACAATGGCATGTTGTAGTATGGCTAATTTTTTATACCCAGTGCCTAGTATAGTGTGTGGCAGATTGTAGTGGGTCGGTGAATGTGAAAGAGAGTTTCAATATTGTTAAGTGCATATTCACTGCTAAATTTTGGTGTCTTATAAGTTTTAATTGCTCAAAGAAACTATGGTCCATGGGAAAGGGAAGGAGTGGAGCTGAGTTAATGAATGATTCAAACTAGTTTTCCAAGGGGCCCTGCAAGGGAAAGAAAGTTGACTAACATATGTGCTGGGTAGCCATGCCCAGAGAGAGCAAACCCTTTCATGGGTGAAACACTCTTCAGGTTTCAGGTCATTTTAGGGACTTGCTGGTGAATGGCTAGCCACAAAGGTAACATTTATCAAGTTACTCAGGTTAAGTTCATCATTAAATTTCCTATTTTCTTTCTCCTGGAATCTCGTGGGTTTTGTTTAATGTTGGAGACAGATGGTGCTGAGGCATTTCAGGTGTTAGTTGATGACATTTTGGTTTTCCTAGGTTTTTTCCAAGTAGATTAAATCCAACAGTACATCACTTGTGTTTCCCAGCATCATAGTCTTGCTGGCTCCCTGATGCCTGAACCAAATATTTGATCCTTCAACCATACTCACGCTTCCTGCTCTGCCCACAAGTTCTCCCTTCGAACACCAGGCACCATCTGTTAAATTGATGTGAGGAGGAAATGAGAAACAGTTATATGAATGCTGCCACTGATCAGTTATCAAGTGATATCTAATTAGCTCATCTCTGATTATCATATAATTAAAGATATCTATCATATCCCTAGCTCAACCCCAGCACCGAATAGTTCTCTTTGTCACAAGTCAGGAAGGACAATACATCATCCCAGCGCTGCCTGAGAAGCAAGTCAGCCTCACAGCTCAGCAGGTTTTGCTTCAGTTCTTCCTCACTGATGACCGATTGTCTGAGGCATCCCCTCTCTAAAGCATTGCATGAAATCTTTTCTCACATTTGCTCTGAAGTGGGAAGGGAAATGAGTAAGGACCGTGTCTTCTTTGTTGCTTTTCTATCATCCTGGCTTCAGCTTTTTGTATCTTGTTGAATAGAAAGATGATGTGAAGCCAGCTGTTCCCCTCTCCTTGGCTCCTGGGAGAGGGTCTCAAACTCTTTCTCTGTGAAAGCAGGGTGTCAAGAGGACAATGGAGGGTAACGATGGGAAAGAGAGGCTCACTCTTCCTTTCTTCTTCGCATTCTTCTCAAAACTAAGAGAGATGTTGGGGAGAGAGAGACCTGCAAGTAAGCTCACAAGAAATGACTGCAGTGATGATAGGAATAGCTAACTGCTGTTGAGCAACACTTTTGGCAAGCAGTGGCTATTTTAAACATAATACACAACACTGTATGATATTATACATAACGTGCATCTTTTATATGGTAATATGACAATTATTTTAAAAATGAAGAAACTGAGGCTGGGAGAAGTCACATGCCTTGACCAATCTGTAACTAATATGCAGGGAAGCAACTCGCGGACCCTGGTCTCCGCCTCCAGAAGCTCAACTGTGCCCCTAACAATCTGTAATAGTAGTTTGCCAACGAATATATTACATATCTTTCTGAACCTCAGTGTTCCCATCTGCAAAACAAGGATGGAAATCCTTACTTCAAAGGGTTTTTGTGAGAATTATATAAGTAAATGTATCTAAAAATCCTGATTTTAATACATGACCCATGGATGTTCAGTTCCTTTTTTAATTTAACCTGAATTTCTGTAGCTATCATAGTCTGATTTATGTAGCATATCTTTAAATGCCAACAACATGTCAGACACCAAGACTGCCATGATAAATAAGATATCCAGGAGTCTTTCCTCAATAGCCCCTGGTCCAATGACGGAGTCAAATATATATATAAAATGAACATGGTACAGAAAGATAGATATTATCAAGTACCTCTGAAATGTCTGGGAAACCTTAGAAAATCATGTAACAATTGAGATTGGTTTTGAAGGGTGAATAAGAGTTAATGAGGGAAACACAGGTGAGTAGAAGGACATTTCTATGTAAAATGTGTCAAAGCATGAAGATATGAAACTACATATTTAATTTTTACCGATTTTTAATAATTTAATGGGTTTCTGCAGCCATCGCCACTGGGCATTTTTAGAACATTTCCAATATTCTCCAAAATTGCCTCGTACTGTCAGCTCCCACCTACATTACCAAATCACTGATCTGCTTTCTGTTTTTAGAGTTGCTTTTTTAGAAATTTCATATAATGAAATCACATATTATGTAGTCTTTTAAATCTGACTTCATTCACTTAGTATAATATTTTGAGGTCAATTTATGTTGCAGTACGCATGAGTAGTTCATTTATTTTTATTCCTGGACAGTATTCTGTATTTCATGTACACACAGGTCACATGTGTTCATCCATTCATCAGTTGATGGACAATTGCGTTATTTCTAGTTTGGAGTTAGGAAGAATAATGCTGCTATGTCATTCTGTGCACCTGTATTTATTTCTCTTAGGCAGATACTTCGGACTGTAATTACTGAGTCATATATTATGTGTTTAACTTTTTAAGAAATATTAATATATAAATAATTTATCAAAGTTGCTGGACTCTTTTACCTTCTGTCTAGCATTTTTTAGTATTCTACTGTTCTATACTCACTTCAACTCTTAGTATCCACAGTTTTTTAGTACAGCATTCTAGTAGGTCTCTCATGAAGACCATTGTGATTTTCATTAGCACTCCTTTAATGACAGTGCAGTTAAATGCATTTTCATGTGCTTATTAATCATGGGTATATATTTATATATACATGTTTATATACATAAGTATATATTAAATATGTATAAGTATGTATATAGAGGGGATATGAAATATGTATTAAAATCTTTCCCATTTTTTACTTCCGTTGCTTGACTTCTTACTGTTGAGTTGCATTCTGAATATAAGTCCTTTATCAGATATTTGATTTGCAAATATTTTCTCCTTGTCTGTGCCATGAATTTTTATTTTAAGGTCATGTTAGTTGCAGAACCTTTATTAAGTTCATTTACCAAGTTTTTGTTTGACGAATGCTGTTTTTAATATCATATCTAAAACATTTTTGTTTTATCCAAAATCGCAAAGATTTCATTCTATATTTTCTTCTAGACACTTTATATTTTTCATTTTAACAGTTAGATCTATGACACATTTTGAGATAATATTTGTATATGGTGTGAGTTAAGGATCTAAGATTATATTTCTTATGAAGACATCTCATTGTCCAGCATCATATATCGAAAACATGATTCTTTTCAAATTAGATTTCCTTGATACCTTAATTCCAGCCTCCCTATTGTATTCCTTGGATATATAGGTCTATCCTTAAACCAGTACCACAGTGTTTCTTGATGCTGTAGCTTGATATTAAATTTAAAAATTTGGGAGTACAAGTTCCCTAATTTTTTTTCATTTTTTTATTCATAGTAATTTGCATTTTTCCATAAATTATAACATTACTCTGTCAGTTTTTCCATAAAAATTCTGCTAGGCCAGATATACCTGTAGTCTCAGCTACTGGGAAAGTTGAAGCAGGAGGATCAGTTGAGCACAGAATTTCAAGGCTGTGGTGCACTATGATTGCACCTGTGAATAAACACTGCACTTTAGTGTGGGTGACATAAAAAGCCTGCTAGGATTGTGCTGGGGATTGCCTTGAATCTATAGATCAATTAAAGGAAATTTTCTATCCTAAAATTATTGAGTCCTTATTTACATCTTCTCGATTTTTCTTAGCAATATTTTGTAGTTTTCAATGCAAAAGTATTTATTTTGTTAAATTAATTCTTAGTATTTTATTATTTGTGTTATTAGCTTAAGTAGAATTGATTTCTTTCTTTTTGTTAGTATGTAGAAATAAATTTTTTTTATGTTGATTTTGCATCCTGTGAAATTTCTGAACTCATCTATTTGTTCTAGTAGGGTTTTTAAGATATTCTTTAGAATTTTCTACAAACATTATCAAGTCATCCACAAAAAAATACAGTATATTGATTTTGTATTATATGAAATTAGTAAGTGATTTATTCTAGTAGCTTTTTAAAATACATATTCTTTAAGATTTTCTGCATGTATTATCATGTCTGTAAACCAATACAATTTTCTTCCTTTCCAGTTTGGATTCCTTTAATTTGAAACTTAGTAAAAACTTGAATAGGAGTAGTGAGAAAAGAAATATTCACTGCATTCCTTATATTGTGGGGAAAGCACTCAATCTTTCACTGTAAAGAATGATATTAGCTACAGGTTTTTCCCATATCCCTGTACCACTTAGAGAACATTAGCTTCTATTCCACATTTAAAAAAAAAAATTTATCATGAATAGGTGCTACCTTTTGTCAAATGTTTTCTGAATCTATTGAGATAATCATGTATTGTGCTCCTCCTTTATTCTATCAATACTTGTATTACATTGATTAGCTTTTACATGTTAAACTAACTTTGTATTCCTGAGATAAATCTCACTTGGTCTTCAAATATAATCATTTTTACATATTGCTGAAATTACATTGCTAAATTTTTTGAGGATTTTTACATTTATGTTCAAGAGGGTTACCGATATATATTATTTCTTATTATTTTTAGTGTCTTTTTGGGGGTTTTGTATCAGAGTTATACTGATCTTATGAAGTGAGTTGGAAGTGTTTTCTCCTTCTCTGTTTTCTGGAATAGTTTGAGTACAATTAGTATTTATATTTACTCTTTAAATATTTGGTAGAATTCACCAGTAAAGCCATTTACACCTGGGCTTTCCTTTCCAAAGAGATTTTTACATTACAGAGTCAATGTCTTTATTTCCAATAGGTCTATTCATCTTTTCTATAAATCAGTTCTTGAGTCAGTTTCAGTAATTATATTTTTCTAGGAATTTTTTTCCATTTAATATATGTTGTCATATTTTTGTCAAAAAGGTGTCTCAATATGTTTTAAATGTATATATAATGATGACCCCTCTTTCATCCCTGATAGTGGTAAGGTGATATCCTCTCTGTTATCGACTGAATGTTGGTGTTCCCCCAAAATTCCCTTGTTGAAATTTCATCCTCAGCATGATAGTATTTAGAATTGGGATCTTTGAAAGATAATTAGGCCACGAGGGTAGAGCCCTCATAAATGGAATAAGTGCCCTTATAAGAAAAGGGCAGAGAACTGTGTAGCTCTTATTTCACCAGCGAATATAGGGAGAAGTTGACCGTCTTCAACCCAGAAGAGAGTTCTCACAGCACCTGCTGGGACTCTAATCACAGCATCAGCTGGGACTCTGATAGTGGACTCTCAGCCTCCACAACTATGAGAAATATGCTCCTGTTTCAAAGCCAACCAGTCTATGGTACCATGTTGTAGGGCTCTACCCTCGTGGCCTAATTATCTTTCAAAGATCCCACTTCTAAATACTATCGCGCTGAGGATGAGATTTCAACAAGGGAATTTTGGGGGAACACCGACATTCAGTCGATAACAGAAAGGATATCAACTTACCACTATCAGGGATGAAAGAGGGGTCATCATTTAAACTGATTAAAATATTCCTTTTTTTCTTAGTCAGTCTAGCTAAAGTTTTATCATTTAAAAAATATTTTTAAAAGTCAATGCTTGGTTTTATTAATTTTCTCTGTTTTGTGTTCTATTTTAGTTTCACTCTGTTCCTCTATTAAATATTCTTGATACTCTGTTTGGATATAATTTGTTCTTCCATTTCTAGTTTCTTAATGTAGAGCTTAGATTCTTTATTTGAGATCTTTCTTTGTGTGTGTGTATATGTGTGTGTGTGTGTGTGTGTAAAGCTATAAATATCCTTCTGAACATTGCTTCAGCTACAAACCATAATTTTATGTTTTTTATTTTCATTCAATTAAAATTCCTTTCTAATTTTCTCTTCGATATCTTCATTTATCTTTTTCTTACTTAGAAGTGAGTTGTGTTATTTCCAAAAATTTGGAAATTCCCAAATTTCTTTCTCTTGTTGATTTCAAATGTATTCCATTTTGTTTAGAGAACATACCTTGCATGACTCCAATTCCTTCAAATTTATTTATAATTTTTTGTGGAACATCATATGGTTTATTTTACCCAAAGTTATAGGAGTTTTTCATAAATAAACATTTCTGAATGTGTTGCTTTGATTTAGAAAATTTCCAGAGCTCTGAAATGATTGTTTTTGACAATTTGTTTAGTTTCAACTTGCTTTTGGGGGAGAGGGTTTGCCTATCTTATTACTCTGCAATAGCCAGAAGTCCAACCTCAATTAAATTATGCAATTTAAAATTTTATAGGGCCTTGATGTTTGACTGGCATTTGTTTGATTTTCCCGGTAGGGGGTAAGCTCTTTAGATTCATATTCATCTTTGTGTCTTACATGGCACCTATCACAGTGCTCCCAAATTCCTTAACTTCAGTGATTGGCTTTCAAATGCACTTTTCCATTAGAAAACTCACTGAATGACTGAACAGACTCATACAAAATGGCAATTTTAAAAAGATCTCATATTGTCATTCTTTCTTTCATTGATCAAAAAAGGAATCTCCACCATTTTAACATGCATTGATTAGAAAGTAATAATTTAAGAGGTTTATCAAAACACTTGCTTTAATGCTAGAAAACTGTTGAGTGAAGATCAGCATAGCAATCTCAGTATGCACTATATCAAGTTTAAAGGGATATTACCAATTTCTGCTGGGAGCATTTTAACAACAGGCAACAGCTTTAATAGTAGCGAATTTAAGTCTGATACTACTTTTTACAGTATATCTTTTAGGATAATGGTTCATAAAATACAGAGCCTAGAGGACCAATTTCCAAGCCAAAGTGGGAGGTGGGGCTCACTAGGGATGTATTATTGTTTACTTTTATATTTGAGTCTGGGTTATTACTTTCAGATGTTTGTAAGATCCACCTTGGCTTCTCTCATGCAGGCTATTTATAAAAGTTTCCCTGTACAGTTTTATCTCATCTCCAGTAACATATATGCTGAATTATTTAATTTTTTTGACTTTTTCATGATAAAAAGTCACACACTTTAATTCCATTTTCGGCAAAGAAATAATTCAATTAAAGTTGTGTACAAAAATTATTCAGAGAAAACTATTCAGAGAAAAATTGCCTTTAATCTCAACCTCATTTTCCCTAATGACATTGGTTAAAATAAAATAGAAGAAAATAAAATAGGGTGAAATCAAGCTAATTAAGTACATACATAAATAAAATCATGACTGTTCTTGAGACTGTTGGTCAGATAGCAGATTTATTGGTCTCACAGTTAGTAACCATCCTCCTTAGGGTGACAGAATGGAAACAGTCCCTCATTTAGTCTAGCCAAAATTTCTGTAGTAAATTAATTTGCAGACTGTATTTGTAAAATAGTGTTGGAGAATGTATGAGTAACCTTATATAAGTCCGTTATGTTTTATTATGTTTACAGAAACAATAAAGATGTAATACTAAACAAAGATAAAAGCAGAGGAGTTGTATTTCGTTTAAAATAATATTGGCTGGGTGTGGTAGCTCGCACACCTGTTAGCTCAACACTTTGGGAGGCCAGGAGTTTGACATTAGCCTGATCAACATAGCAAGATCCTGTATCTATTGAAAAAAAAAAAAGCTTTGCCTAGTAGTGCATGCCTGTTGTCCTAACTGCTGGAAAGGCTGAGGCAGATGGGATTGCTTGAGCCCAGAAGTTGGAGACTGGAGAGAACTATGATTGCACCACTGCACTGCAGCCTGGATGATGGGGCAAGACCCTAAATATCCTAAATAAATAGGCCTGGCACTGTGGCTCACATCTGTAATCCCAGCACTTCGGGAGGCCAAGGCAGGTGAATTAACTGAGGTCAGGAGTTCTAGAGCAGTCTGGCCAAAATGGTTAGACCCCGTCCCTACCAAAAATACAAAGATTAGCCAGGTGTGGCAACACGCACCTGTAATCCCAGCTACTCGAGAATCTGAAGCAGGAGAATCACTTGAATCCGGGAGGCGGAGGCTGCAGTGAGCTGAGATTGCTCCACTGCACTCCAGGCCTGGGTGACAGAGCAAGACTGTCTCAAAAAAAAAATATATATATATATATATTTAATTACCTAATTAATTAAATAAAATATTATTGATGAGCATTATGCTATTAATTTCCATTTATAGTCTTTTGCTTAATAAAATTATTTAGAATTGTTTTCTTCACCATTCCCATTTCGCCCTTTGTTCTGAGGTGATGTAAACAATATCCCTACTTAGATAGTTTTTAAGTCATATGTTGTTATCTGACTGGTTCTCCAGCTAATACCAATAGTTTTAAAACTATTTCTCTAATTTATTCATCACACATGCCAGTTATTACCATAATCCAGAGACTCAGTACATCAGCTGTATATTGTAAGAATGGTCTTACAAAGTGACGATTTAAAGTTTTCATAGCTTGAGGGGTTATTTCTCAAACCTCCACCCTATTCCTGGGATACGGCCTTCTTCTGCCTGTGATATCTTTGTGCCAAATCACATTACTTCCATGGGCACATTTTTCAAAAACCAGAGAGAAGTTCGCAGATTCCGGTCTTCTTTTTCACCTTATTTCTTCCAAAACTATTGGTTCAAAATCTCTTCTCTGATTGTAGTTCTCAGGAGAAAATTTTCATCTTCCTTTACTAAATTCAACCCTTAGTTTTTTTGTTTTGTTTTGTTTTTCCTTTTCAAAATAATGAAAACATCTACAAACATTTTCAAGTCACCATTTGTACCATTTGTGCATATGATAAAAATCCCCAGGTTTTTTAAAAGTTATATAAAAATAAACTCAAGTACACTAAAATTTGGTAATTTGGGGTTTTATTATTGGATTGGATAGGGATTATTTTAGACACGGATGATGAATACAAGCACACCAAAATTCCAAGGACTGCTATTAGTAATATAGTTCATATTTTTGAAAAAGCTGAATTTTCTATACATTTAAATGCTTTCTTTCTCTTCATGTATTCCCTCCATGACACTAATAAATAAAGCATTAAAATGAAAAATGTCTTTTATTTAGATTACCATTCAAATTTATATCTAGTTCTGTCTTCCGTTCACATTTTTCTGTAAAACTTCTCATGAAACTTTCTTAGCCAGAATCTCACAGCAGTTTTAGCAACTTTTCTAAAAAAACAAAACAAATAAATAGACAATAAAACTTCACAAATTTTAATGGGGCCATACAAACTCTAAAAGTTGAAAAGACATTTACACTATCTAGTCTATTATCTAGTTTTTAAAATCCGCCAGAGGTTATGTGATTTGCTCTAAGTCACACTGCTGGCTAAATTAGAAACCCAGCTAGAATTCTGGCGTTCTGACCATGAATGCAGGGCTGCTTCTGACTGAATTTGCAGTTCTGGCTTTGAGTCCAAAAATACTAAGTGATATCCTGGAAATATACCAGATCTGCAGAAATGTGCGTGACTTCAATGAAAATATTTGTTCAGGCTGTGTAGGGTGGCTCACGACTGTAATCCCAGCACTTAAGGAGGCAGACGCGGGAGGATAGCTTGAGCCCAGGAGTTAGCGACTAGCCTGGGCAACATAGCAAGAACCCAGTCTCCACACAAAGGAAAGCAAAAACAAAACAATAAAATATTTGTTCAGAGGTCAAGGAGCAAAAGATATTGGTGAACTCCTTTCCTTTGGAAATAACATATTAAGTATCTTGTATATTTTCACCCAGCATTGGTATGTCATGATTCATCTACTGCTAAACAAGTTAGGTTTGTGCTAAGATACACATAGTGAAGCTTAAAGAAAAAATGAAAAGGACATCAGGTCTTTCCAGGCAAGGAAGGTCCATTTCGTCCATGAATGGCGCTTTGAGCCTCTAGATACATTCATCTCTCTCATTACTTTAGCTACAGAAGATCTGTTATTGGAGGATTGTCCCAACAAGTGTAAGGCACTGTTTAATGAAGGAGAACAGGGACAACTTGATCACATTTCTCTGTCACTAACACTTTGCTCTGGTTATTTCTCTGTGAAATTTTTTCCCAAGAAATCCTTTGGCTGAATGTGGAGGAAAAGAGCGGAAGGACTTGGGGCTGTTGCAGCAAAGGAGCCCCACCTCTGCAGGTTTTGCCCACACTATGAAGATGCTGTGCAGCCCGGGGTGAGGGTGTCCTGGCTTCCATGCCGACTACCATATTCCCCTGTCCCTTGCAACCCAGTCTTCCTGCTGTGGCTACTAAAGTCTTTGCCTCCCTGCTCATCACCGCTCCTCACACACTTGAGGTTTTGGAAGTTGTCATGCTGGATCTGGATATTGTTAAGTTGTTGATCCTTCCAAGACCAGCTGCTGCTCTACCATTTATAAAAGGCCAAGAAGCCTCCATCTCCCTTTGTCCAGCACATTCTGATTGTGGTCAATCTCAACAGAAACACATGTAGTGAAATGAAGGCCGGGTATGTGGGTCTTTTCCTACGCTGCAAAATGGATTCATTGTTCTGCGGAATTTGAGCCTGACCAGAACAGCAGGACTTATAAGCCCCAGGACTGAAAATAAACTCCACAGTCTTTCAGATTCACAGGGGTCAGGAAAGGAGGAGACCTAGAAGAATCTCATGTTCCAAAGACAAACTCTCCTGCTACCAAATACCCACATTCTCGGAAGCCGAGAATATTTGGACATCTCCCAGTGCCAGACTTGCTTGCATTTCACATCTGGGCATGGTGTTGCCCTAGAGCCAAGATAAACTCATGGTGGGGAAGTCCAGGGACACCGAAGTGTTCAAGAAATGGCTTTTCTCATTCAGGAATCCTTCCCCTGTCAAATCCCAGGAATTATCTTGGGGGTCAGACAGAAATTTAAGTTCCATCATCACAACTGCCTTCACAACCACCACTGCCATAACCGGTCATCAGAATGACTTGCCCAGGGCCACACAGGTGAGACATTCGGGCCAGGACAACCATGCAGGCCCCTGACTCTGGGACCCGTGCTTCCTCTTCTTCACATCATAAATTAAAGGGACATTCATTATTTTTAGATGATCCAAGGGCGGATCTATAGGAAGAGAGTTGAGAAAATATGCATTCGGCCAAATTTTATAAGTATAAATTGATTAAATAATGTAATAAAAATTTAAGTATATATTCAGAGATAAACATGAGAAAGAGAAACAGAGATGATAGAAATGATGAAGACAGAGACAAGGTAGTGTGACTCCAGGAGACCAGGGAAGGTCACAGATCTCAAAACATGACCTCTCAAAATGCTGACTACAGGCTGTAATTCAACTATTCATTCAGCAAGAATTTATTTATCAAGTCCTTAAGATTAAATTGATAAACATGATTCAGTTCCAGCCCTGGAGAAGTTCAGCATTTGGAAGGAGCAGAGGCTAATATTAAGTATCGTGGATGCCTAGAGGAGAAAGAGATGTCTTCTATTTCGGGCATAGACATTGGTGAAAATCCAAACTTTGTCAGTAAAATGTAGCATTTTTAAATGTTGTCAATCATTCATATCTACATATAGCAATGAAGAACAAAGACTCTGGATGAAGTGCAGTGGGAAAAACTATTGTAATAGAGCCTTCAAGGAGGAATAAAGCTTGGGATATGGGAAAAGTTAACCTGAGCATAGGAGAGAAAGTACTGGTTCTCAAAGCAAATTTTATTCATTTGTATGAAGGTCTGACAGGGACTATGAAGATAAGTCATAAAGACAAGGGCGATTCACCAGGTTTTCAAAGACAAGTTTGAAACACATCTCAAGTTTTATAGAAAAATGATACTCTAGTGCAATAATGGAGTCAATAGGTCCCTGGTTCGGCACGGCAGGTCTAAGAGCATACTTAATGTATTCATTAGGTAAACATTTATTGAATAGATCTGATATATCAAGAACATGGCCAGCATAAATGTAAAGGGATGAACAAGACATAATAACTGTACTTATGAAAACCAATGTGTGGTGGCCAAGCCAATAGTCTAGGGGCTAAAACTAACCTTTGTTCAATCTAGGACTCCAGGACCAGATGCCCATCATGGAAAGCAGTTGTGTTTGCCTTCCCACAGTGAAATGTGGTCATACCTACAGGACATGGTTCATGCCCCCTGAAGTGGTGATAGATGAAGACTAAGGTTTCTCTGTCTCCATGTTAATGCATCTTCCTGTTAGGCATCTATCATTGTCAGCATCAATTGAATTTTTTCTGAACTTGTCATGTATCCATCAATACTTCTGAGCATTGCCTACCACTGTCTACTCTTCTTTCACTATTATGTTTCATTATTATGCCCCACATCCTACTACCTAAAATCCCCTGAGACCTGCTTTCTCTATTTACTGCAACAATGTCACTGCCACTGCCCAAGTCCAGGCCCTAGTCATATGGCTCACACATTATCAGCAATGGCCTTCTGCCTTGCCCCCTCCCTCTGAGTCCCATATCGCCAAAAACATCCGAGAAACTGTTGCATAAATGATCTTTCTAAGCAACATACCTAATCATATTTCAGCCCTGATGTAAATTCACCAGAGGCCTCCTCTTCTCCTGTCTCGTCTCATACACCCTAGCTTGAGTGTCCCGTGCATACTCTCCATCCTAGCGCATGGCTTTGTGGACAGACTCTATTCTGGTCTCATCACCTCCATGCACCATTCTCTCCAGCTTTGCTTCAATATTTGCTGTTTCTTACTCATTGGCCTTTATACAAGCTATTTACACAACTAGCATGCCCTTTCTTCTCCTTCATCCAGCAGCTGACACCTACTCCGACATCAAATCTAAGAACAGCTCACCTCTTTCATAAGTTTTTCTCCCACTGGCTAATTTAAATGATTACAGGCTTACATGATATCCAAGTGGATAAGCTTATTATAAGTTTTCCTCACTGCTTTGTATTTACTACTTTATTTCTCTGGCTTACAACTAAATAGTCAAAAAGTAGTTGGTAGAGGGAATAAAGGGTAAACAAATGAATGAGAATCTTGTCATCTCTCCTCCCTTGTTTTGCTTTAATTTATTTTCAAATTGGAGAAAGGAAAAAAATGATTCCTTAAAAACAAACCAAAAAATGCCCTTAAAAAAGAGCAGAGAAATTCTACCCCTCGAATCCCACCCTACTCTAGAAAGCTGAGAAAATGTAAGTGTTCATTGTTTGGAGGAATACGCTCTTCCTTTTCCTGTCTCCAGTGGCTCCTTTTCCTGAAGAAGGTCAATGGACCACATGGGGCCATTCAAAGCCAGCCAAGGTCACATGGACGGGGTTTGTTGGCTTCATCTCAGAGGATCTCTGGTTGAGTTGAATAAAGTTGCAACTTTATACATTTGGCTCATGCAAAGCCTTTTTAAAATAAGACTCTTCCATCTGAATTTCAAAACTTGTGCATATAGGACTTCCCCATTCCCTAAAGGCTCTTATTTCTAGTGGAGCTACGACATCACTTGTGCTCACAGGATGCATAAAACAAATTATCTTTCTGGTCCACACCCTGAATTTCACAGAATTAGACATTTTTCCTGTCTCCTAGGAAGATGCAAAATGTGTTACATCCAGCTCTCAGAAATACATCCAGTTAAGCAAGTCATTTTCTACTTTGTATCATTCTAATCCCTACTGGTACTTCTTGAAGCTTCCAATGAGGCAGATTTTCATAATAACTTTAATAAAATCTTACTACCCCTTATTTTGCTCATGTTACTGAGCCATGATAAACTGCAATGTAACTGAGTGAAATGGAGAGTCAGTTGAGTTGGGCATGGTAGGGAGGCATTGATGTGCTTTCTGCACTCTCTTGTTCAGTTATCCTGCAAGGGAATTCTCCAATCACAGCATATTCAGCTTAAATAACAGAAAAATGGAAAACTTTACCTAGAAAGGGTGAATGAATCATCTTATACAATAATTTTGCTTTATAAATGAAAAAAACAAAACGGAGAAAGTCATTTGTCTGTGACTGCAGTTGCTGGCAGAGTTAGATGCAGGATCTTGACTATGAGTATTAGTATCACTAATTTGAGAGGTCCAGGAAGATCCTAACATCCTGAAAAAAATGTTCTAGGAGATATGTATTCATAGTAAGGATTTTGGCTTCATCAATTTCAAAAAGCTCATGACAGTGAAAAATATTGAGAGTTATATTCAAAGATCCTTTAAGCTCAAGGAGTCTCTTATTCTACAAAACATTCTTTGGACCTGTGTTGTCTCTAGCGTAAGTTCAGAAGAAGCAGAAAAATAAAACTTTCCTTTTTTCCCCCAAATGGAAGTCTTATTTAAATTGAATTTCTTTCTTCCTTAGAACTTATAGATAAGCTTTTGCACAACAAAATAGTTCAAGGAACTTTAATAAGTTTTCAATAGATTCACAAGTAGGTTTTTATTTCTACCTTCCTTTAAGAAAATACATAGCAGTACTCAAATCTTTATGACCATCAAATTTTACCATATTAGGAAACTTTTGTCTAATAGTAACTCTATTAAGTGCATTGCTCAGAAGGCCACAAAATTCCTAATATGCCAGTCCAGATAGACTCATAGCATAGATAAAGCTGAGAGGACCTCAATCCCCATCTGGTGAAAGTCTCCGTCTACTGTTAGAAATAACAAGGACTTCCAAAGGGGAGTGACTTGGAGAAGGGTATATTGCAGCTAGTGGCCAAGGAGCCCAGGACTAAAAAAAAAAAAAAAAAAAAAAAAAAAAGGCAGGGGGGTTATATGAGTTTTGGGACTCATGATGTTCATGCTTCTTGGTACTCCTTCAACACTGGTAAAACATAGTAGGCATTAGGTGAGGTTCAGGCATGGAGCATAATATCATGGATGGAGAGATGAACAAAGAACTTTTCCTCTCCTTGGACTCATAAATGAATAAGAGAAAATAGACAGGCTTCTTCTAGAACATCTGTTGACATATAAAGTGTTTCAATTTTCAATATGTGTCTCTACAATGACCCAGATGTTCAGAATAACTTTTATTAAACCCTGCTAACTCAGATTCAGTTTGCCCCAGGAGACCATGATAAAGATGAAGACGATGGTTGAGTATATATTATTGGTAACAAGAAACAGTATTTTTATGCACTGAAGTCACCTAACATCTCACTTTTTTATTTTTATAGGTCAAAAGTGCTTTCATCCAGTGGAAATAATGACTTCATATTGCAGAAAAAAGGAAAGATGACATTTGGTTTGCTTTATTAAAGACTTTGTCTATTAATTATAAATGAACCTTTGTACATGGTCACCGAGAGGGAAAGTGTAGTGTGACTTTTATATCCAAGAAAGCATGAAAACATCAACATGACTGTTGGCCCTCTGAGATAGAGGTCTCAAATCTGTAGTCTGGTTAACCCTCTTCCTTCAATGTTGCTTTAATGTTTTCTCTTTATTTAACTATTACTTACAAAGCCTCTGGTACACCAGGTAGTCTGCCAGAGGCTAGAAAATCAGAGATGAATAAAACCTGATGCATATCTTAAAAGTGCCAGAGAAGGCTGGAACCAGTGGTGAATCTTTGCACAATGAAGAGGGAAGTGGTCCTACCTGGGAGTGTGCTGGGGAAGTTCTGTGCATGAATGTGTGAGGGATTCTGTAAGAATCACCACCTGCTCACCAAATCTTACCACATCCTGTAGCTCAGGTGAATTCTCCAAATGTGTCTAGGATACCTGGATGATATTGAGGAAAGTTATAAAATAATGATGGAAAACAATTATATATGCAATTTTGTGCTACTCAGATACCTTTTTACATTAGACTCTGGACTAAATTAACCAGGGGCATTTTGCAGAACCCCTGATTTGACATAAAATGTTGTATCCACTAGCACTGCCCCTCATGCCCCAATTGTGAAAAGTTATCTCATGTTGCAGAAGATGGGAGAGCAGTGTCTGATGGCAGCATGCTATGGGAAGTCATGCAGGCTGGTATGGTTATAACCAGAAGCCAGGTCACATGTAGCCAGGTGGTGAATACTCATCAAAACAGGGACAACCATGGCTTGACACTAATGAGCCTCTGAGTGGAAGAAGAGTAATCATTGCAATCTTACAAAGTTCAGAGGTCAGCATACTGTGATCTTGATTCCAGCTGGAGCTATACATCATTCAACCAGCCACTGGTCATGCCACATTTTATCAATGCTAAGAGCAAAGAAATCCTGCCCATCATAAAAGACAAGGCCCTATCTCAAGATTTTAAAATCTAGTTTGGATACCAGTCTAGGGGAAAACTAGTATCTCCCAAACATCCTTACCCCTTCCTTGAAATCTCTCTTGCTCCTATTCTGATTCTTGTTTCTTTCTTCCTTTCTATTCTAATGATTTTCCCTAATTTTACACCCAGGAATAATTATTATATTAATAGTTTCTATTATAATAAAAGCTTACATTTTTCTAAGTGCTTACTTTGCGCCAGACTCTGTCTGAAAAGCTTCGAGTATATTGGTCCATTTAATCCCCATAATAAATTTAGAAACTATTTTAACCAATCATATATTTTACTTCCAATATGAATCATTCAGAAGTAAAATGACTTGCCTAAAGTCATACAGTGAGCAAGCAGGGGAGCTGGCCTTCAGATCCTGCAACCTCACCTTAGAGCTTGATCTCATAAGGACTGCTGTCCTCTCTGCTCACTGCCTTGTCCTCACAGGCCAATTTCGTCACACGTGTGTTACAGGTGACTCCAATAGGAAATCCAGCTTCTCTTTGGCCCATACGACGTTTAAAACACCTCTTAAAAGTTTTGCCTTTTTGTGTGACCTCTGCCATTTTTGATGGTCCCAGGAATGGCATGTATGACTCTCCAATCTGCTTGGCTCAAGGTTGACTTTTTGTGGCTCAAGGTTGACTTTTCATGACTCAAGATTGAATCACCAATAACGTCTTTGTGAACTGTCCATAATAAAAATTAGGAGGGTCTTTAGGAAGATGTAGCTTTTATTAGGTTTAAGAATGACAAAATATTAAAATCAGACCTAAATTACTGTTCATGTTATAATTTAAATTTTGGGAGATGTGGTAGGGGCTCCACCATCTAATCTAAACTATTTCTCTCCAATGGAAAGAGGAAAGTTTTTGCAATCCCAAATGGCTAACTTCGTGATACTACAGAGAGTCTTATGCCTTCTTTTTATGGATAGACATACAGTAGTGACAATGATGCTGAAAGACTTAGGTCCATCTGAGTTTCAAACACATGGCCAACTAAAATGGGAGAAAACATTTTCTGGGTCCACCTACCCCAGGAAGGGGGCTCATGAATGTGAGGAATATTTCAGAGGAAATTTGCTAATCAACAAAGCAACTAAATAGCAGGTAGCCAGGCTCTCTGGCAACAAACCAAATCCCTAGAAAGAATCATTCACCCTTAATGCTGGAGAGGTCATCAAGTCCAACCTTCCAAAATTGCACCCTCTTACTCAGTATGATAATTTCCTCCTACATCTTAGGAATCTTCTTCTCTAGCTTCACCTTGAAAAACAATAGCAGTGAGATGTTTACTAACTCCTATGCCCACCTGCTCTCTTTCTGCCTTTAGTTGTTGAAGTATTTATCCATCAATAACTACATATAATAGGTGATATGTAGATGAGATCCGACTCTATAGGGATTCCATCTGCTTGTGATAATGGGTACATCACACCTCCCTGTATATTCTGAAAGACAGGCATTCACTTTGTCAAACAGTCCTTCCTACCATGTTATGTCTAAAAGGATCTCACCAGTGCTGCTATGCTGTCATCTTTAACTTCATAAGCTCTTCTGTTATGCATCTTCTACCAGTTTGTAAGGCCTCTGGAGACAAATAGCAGACCCTCAGTTTCTTTCTGTTGCCTACAGTGCCCAGCAAAAAGTTTGCCTCAACAGATTTGTCTTAAAACCAACGCAGTAGAGTAAGAAGTTACCTGTCTCAAGATCTAGATGCGAATTCTAACTCTAGCTCTGGACACATAGCTATGAGTAAGTCTCTTGTATTTCTTGTCTTTGTATAATATTTCTAAGACTAGAAAAGCAATGAAGACTGGAAAAGCAAGAGACTTACCCATAATTTTTAATGTAGAGAAGGAGATGATGAAGACAGTTATGTTAAATGCTCTCTGTGAACAAATTTCAGGGTCACTGAAGTCGGTAGATGTGAAGTCTGGTTTTGAATCTTACATCTGCAATTTACTGACTGCAAATAAAATGACAATCTCCCTGAATCTCATTTTCATCAGTTTTAAAATCAAAGTATTTGTAGCATTTATGACACAAGATTGTTTTGAAGATTAATTATATGAGATCACATATATAATGGGCTTAGCCCATAATACCTGGCATATAGTAAAATGTTCAATAAATGTTAGCTATTTTAAGACCTTTAAGATGTGAGAGCCAAGAAGCATTCTCTTGAGCGGTTCTTGCCAGATGGTTTCCTTACTCTGGGTTTGGCTGTTTCTTGGGAATGTGTTCAGTGAAAAAAAATTCAACAAATCAATTAACAAACATCCACCAATACCTTCTACATGCAACAGAATGCTTCAGGCACTGTGCATGATCCAATAAGAGTAAGATGTCTTCTCCCTAGAAGAGATAATTTAATTAAGAAGATAAAGCAACACATGAAAACAAAACTAAAAATTCAAAGTAATAATGGATTCTCAATGGGTAATACATGCTTTGTTTCCTAAAGGAACACACTCTTTCCAGCCCAGATTGTTAGGGAGAGCTCCCTAGGGGAGGGAAGGTTTAAGTTGGCATTATTTCCACCTCCTCCACAGTAATAATACATTGTATTCTCAATTCCACCAAAACAAAATCAAAATAAAGACAATGCAAGCTCCTTCTTCTGGATGTCTTCTCTTAGTAAATAGCATCATCACTTACCTAGAATTCCAAGGAGAAGGGCTCCCTAAAACCCTCTTTCCCTCAACTACCATGTCTATTTGGTCATGAACATCTTCAGCACCTAGAGCTGAAAATACTCAAATCTGGGTCCTTCTTCCCAAATCCTCTGTGCCAATTGAGGTTTCATTGCTACTGGGTCTCTGATACTGTCTTCTTCAGCGTTCCCTTTCTTTCACTTCCACATCTCCCCACTCCATTTGTTCAGGTGATGACCATTGTGGTGTTTTCCCCAAGGAATGAAGGCCACAGGACAGTGACTGTTGTGCCTGCCTCCTGGCATCTGGAGGATGGATGGTTTTATTCCAGTCATACCACAGCTGTGAATTGTCCTCTGATTATCATGCTTTTTCTAATCTCCATTGTTTCTCACACCAGGAAAACCCTTTTCTCCTACTTCTCCATTAAGAACACCCACCATCCTGTATCTTAAAGAACATGTAGAAGGTATCACATCCTTTAGAATTCCATTCAGTGTCTCCACTTCCAGGAAGCCTGTGCCAATACCTTCCTAGTGTGAATCAGGTACTCCTCTGAGCTAGTCTAGCTCCCTGGGCTGAGCTCAGTGATTCCTCCTAATTATGCTGAAATCATCTGTGTCTATCTGACTTGTTCACAGATACAGAGCTTCTTCTTCTTTTTTTTTTTTAAATAAAAAGAAGACAAATCATGGGTCATCTATTTCTGTGTCTTGTCTCCTGTGCACAGCGTAACACAGTCTTAAGAAATATTGGTTGAAAGTGAGTGAATGTACCTATGTGACCTCTGAAAGATAAATAAAATTTGATTAAATTTGCCAAATACAGGAAGTCTCTACAAGGAAAAGGCGTAGTAAAGAAAACATACTGCGAAGATGGCTAGATGTCTCTGGTGATATTAAGCAGTATCTGCCCCAAAATAGAGAACCTCATCAGCCAAGTGATTTACCTTCAAAACTGTAAATATCAAGAAACACTGAACCTAGATCTCCCTACTTTGCTGAACTGAGAGGAAAGTTGCTTAATTTTTTTATTATTAATCCATGTTGAATGTTCTCCTCTTCCACCTCAGCCCTTCACAGGTCCTCTAAAAGCCTAGATCTTGGTGTGTAATCCCAGAAATATACAGTGGCCCCTTGTACTGTTGATGTTTTAACGGAGTTGTCAGGGAGTGGGAGGGTGCGCAACAGAACGCAGCAATGGTTTGAACATCCCTTTATCCTTTTCCATCCCATAAAGAACATTTTTCTGTATATAAATATGATAATGCTATCTACTGAGCAAAGCAGAAGCATTTTCAATGCTGCACAAATTAAGAAAGAGAATCCTTTGAAAGAAGTCTGTTTTTCAGGGTAAAAGTAAGACCACCAGCTACTGCCCAGGAAAAAAAAATATATCTGTAGTAGTTTTTAATATTAGTTTGATGAGATCTAGGTTATAAACAGGTCTGGTGCCATGTAATTTGCAACATAATTTCACTGTCTGTTTATCTATCCATCCGTCCACCCATTCATATGTATATAACATAGGCAGGAAATCTGGTGTCTGTTGCTAGTTCATAAATCAGTGTCTGCTCTCAACAACATCTGAATACAAATGTGATTAAATTTGATACCATGCCCATTTTTCATTTATCAGATTTTAGAATGTGATGCCGTGGCAGCTGTCCTATGGTAATGTGTTTTGCAGTTAACCCCCTGAGTCCCAACTTCCTTCAACATATGAAGCCCTTGCAGAGACATTAGAAATTCACAGAACAAGACACCTACTCTGCTTATCACAGAGAAAGTTTTCCTCAGCATATCAAGGAAAGAAGAGAGGGGAAAGAGCTGGAAATAACATTAGAAAATTGAAGAAAACCTCAGAATTGCTGCGTTTCTGATCTGCAGAAGACTTTAGAGACTGTCTAGCCCTGTGCTTCACAAAGTTTTCTGTCCCACACATCACATGGGGCTCTTGTTAAAGAGCAGATGCTGGTTCAGTAGGTCTGGGCTGGGGCCTGGGATTCTGCATTTTAATCCAGTTAATCCAGTTGATCTACTATTTCCTAAATTTAATAATCATCTGATTGACTGATGTACTTAAGTGTCCTCCCCAGCACCATGACTCAGATTTTCCTGGAAAATGGACCTTGAGAACAAGGAAGGTTACCTGGAACTTTTATCAGCCAGCTCACACAACGGACCAAGTTTGGGAAACGTTGAAAACGGAGGCCTAAAGGAAAAGTGAGTTGCTAAAGTTGAAACTTGAACACAGAATCTCAAGCAAGTGCTTTTGCTAGTCTCAATGGAAATGAGATAACTAGAATAGAGGTTGGAGAACAATTCACAATACTCACAACAGGTTCCAGAAAGTGGACTCTAGCAGAAGGGATTATTTAGAGTTAGTGCTGGAGAACAGTCCTGGATTAGCAAAACAGGTCCTAGAAAACAACATACCCCGATGTTTTGTGAGGCAAACAAACCAGGTCAGACCAAATCACTGGCCATAAGGTATCTTTTCTGACAACCTAGCTGCTACTGAGGAAGCCCGTTTTCCTTGCCTCTCCCTTCATTTGCCTTCTGAGACCCTATTTACAAAAAAATCAACTCCTTCTTCTGGAAGCTGTATTCTACAGAAAGGAGCCCCTTCATGGCTTCCCAAGATCCACTACGGCTTCCCAAAAGCTTCCTGACGTATTTTCACTCCACCCGTGATTTCCAGATCACTCCAGACCTGCAGAATCATCGTGTTCCTGTGTGGATTGTTCAACAAGGAAGATAATTTTGGAAATGTACCTGTTATTGCTCTTTTCTTGGTGAGTGATGGTCATCCAGGGGAGCTTGGATCGCTGAGGTTTGCGGGTGAACTGCAAACTCCTAAGCATTGGTACATACATTTAGGATGATACTGAGTAGACCAAATAAGCATTCTGTATACTTCAATTTCCTTTTGGGGAAATAGCAAACACATTTACTGCTCACCTTAAAGGACATTTAAAAAAAAATTACAATACTTAAAAAATGTGAAATTAAAGAAACAACATACCCAACTTGCAGAACACTTGCTAGGAAATAATAACCAGTTAGACATCAATTTCTTTTTTCAGATTGGCTAATGGTGTTTGTGTACCTTTAGTGGGCTGCAGAAGGCAAAATGCATGCCACGCAATAGGCTTGGACATGTAGCTATCACCTTAGCAAAAGGCTTCTGTTCAAGGGTGGTGAGAGAGCCTGGGTCTTCCTTTCACACAATGATGCCTGCAGAGGTAAGCTGCTGTGTCTTTCTCCATAACTACTTGGCATATGCATCAAGAGCCTCAGAAATGCTCAATGACTGGGGAACTTCTGGAAACCTGGCTTAAAGGAATAATTAGCAATGTGCAAAAGAGATCCAAAATGCCATCTCATTTACAAAAGAAAACTTTTGCATTACATAAACATCTAAACACATAGAAATGGCTACATATATCATGAGCTTCATCTCAGGTAGGGTGTCATTTAGATTTAAATGACCATATAACATGTCGGGTTATGCAGTCATTTAAAAATGTGGTGTGAGAAAATATGGAGCTTCTCACTTTGTTAAGTGGGATAAAAATAAGATCACATAAGCATAACCTAAGTACTTAAGTAGTCACAAAAAAGGGAAATTAGAATTACATATAAAAAATATTTTTTCATCAGTCAAATGGAGAAAAGAATGCCTATATTCTAGGGCAGTTTTAGGAAGTATAGGCTAACTATGTAAAGCACCTAGCACAGTGTTCACTATGTTATATTATCAAAAATAATCCATGATAATTACATTAACAACCGTAATTAACACTTGCCATTGATACTGGAATTGTTTTTCTTTTCTGTTATATAATTTGTCTCTGTTTTCTCCTCTGAGTTTTATACAGTCATAAAATATTGCCTTTAGAAACAGAAATGCCACTATTTATACTTTTAAAAATTACTATGGACAGAACATGTGGGTTCTCTTCACAGCTCTCTCTCTACTTCAGCTCTGTCCTAAAGAAAGAATCCCTGTCTTGAGCTTAACCCTCAGTTGTCTGGCATTCACAGGGTTAACAGCCAGTCTCCAGCAACCCCTCCCTACCCCAAGACAAGCTGTGATCTTCTCACTGCAAGTCTATCCCCAACCAATCCCCAAACACAAAAGCCCAGAATGAAAGGAGTGGGGGTGGGGCGCTCGCTGTGTGGCTTTTCTCTGTTTTTCAACATAAAAAAAAATGAGAAGAGAAAGCAAAATCTCCTTTTGAAAAAATAAATGCTAAATGCTAGGCTTTTTCTCCTCTCCCCAAGTAGCTGGCCTTATTAAATAGGGATTCATCAATGTTTTTTGTTGTCTCAAGTAAGATACTATTTATTGGGTGCACAAAAGCAGATAAAGCCACAAATGAGTTGCCTGGTCACTCTTGCCAACAGGAAGATGCACATAACATGCAAGAGGCATCCTCCTCTCCTGTTCACTGAATGCATTTCAAAGGGCCTTAAATCTTTGTGTCACAGGGATCAGCTTATGGTTAAGCAGAGCACAGTATGCAAGGTGCTGGGAGAAGGTTGGCTGGCAGATGGTGGCTGGTTTCTCTCTCTTTTCTCTTCCTCCCTTCTCACTTTCTCCCTTCCCTTCTCCCACTTTCTTTCACACAAGTCCCTGTATCAGTGGCCCGTGGCCCTCTCTGTGACACAACAGACTCTGGCGTGCACAGATGAATCTCCCTGAGTTCATCTATATTTTCAGCCTTGTGAAAAAAAGAATCTGTGAGAGCTACCTCACCTTCAAGCTTCTATAGAAAGGAGGATTTAAATTTCTATTCAAAACAGAGCTTGTTATAATTGAGAACAAGATTCTCCTCCCTGAGGCACTTTGAGTCAATTAATTGGCTTTTTTGAAGTGTTAATAGGGAAAAAAAATTTTGACCTTTTCCAGGGCTTTTTCATGGAGCTATTGAAGAAAATTGCTGGGCTATTAACCAAACCAATTCTGGGGCCACAGAGCCCCCAAGAGCTGAGTACTCTTGGGGATGATTGAAATACAAAACATGGTTAATTCATTCATCATATCAGAAAAAGCACCCATTTGATTAAGAGACTATTTTTACACTACCCCGTGGGTGTGTGTGTGTGTGTGTGTGTTTGTGTGTGTGTGTGTGTGTGTGTGTGTGTGTGAGAGAGAGAGAGAAAGAAAGCAACCAAGGCAACATGTTGCAAACTTTAATGCAGCAAGAAGATATCCTTAGAAATAGACTCTCTCCATATTATAAATTAAAACAAAAAGAAGGCAGGGTGTGGTGGCTCACACCTGTAATTCCATTTGTTTAGGAGGCTGAGGCAGGTGAATCATCTGAGGTCAGGAGTTCAAGACCAGCCTGGCCAATATGGTGAAACCCAGTGTCTACCAAAAATACAGAAAAAACTAGCCGGATGTGGTGGTGCTCGCCTGTAGTCCCAGCTACTCTGGAGACTGAGGTAGGAGAATTGCTTAAACCCAGGAGGCGGAGATTGCAGTGAGCCGAGGTTGTGCCACTTGCCCTCCAGCCTGAGTGACAGAGCAAGACTCTGCCCACCCCCACAAAAAATAAATAAATAAATAAAACAAAAAGGAAAAGAAAACTATTGAGAAACTAAACTCAAGAGAAGAGTGCTCAAGAAATGGGATCCAGTAGATACAACTCTGGTTTAAGGTTTTTCCAGACACCCAAGAGTTCCCAACATCTCTAAAGTCAAGGTGGGTATAGTTGGTCAATTTATGTCAGTAGATACAATCTGTGTAATTTTAGCCTCATCTGTGAGAAAGCTGAAAAAATTATTTTGAACTTTTTTATAATTTCTATTCTGTAGGTACCCATGCAAATCCTGAGAATAATTTTTATTTTCTGTGATTAACACACACAAAAACCAAAGAGAACAGAAGGGTTTTACCACTTATTTTTTCCTCCCATAGGCTTCTGCTCATGGTACTTTGAAAAAAACAAGCAGCAACACCAAAGTTGTACAGGCTTCACAGGGCACTCTATTACAGGAACAGATGGTCATATAAATGAGAACTTGATTTCACTGCAAGAAAACCTTCCATTCATCTCCCATAGTTTGGGAATGGGGTGATTGGATTAATTAAATATTCTGGTAAGCAGTGAGGATCCATTTATCCACAATGGATTACCATTTTTAAAAAATGTACATCACCAGTAAGTACACTGTGCATGGGCTCAATGGAACACAGTCTCATCCTTCACAATGTGGCTCAGAACAGAACTCAGACTCATCAATTCAGTGACAGCAGGGCCAGCAAGGCTTGAGTGCTAAATAGCTCCATTTGGTGAACACTGAAGCTTCATTGTACTAATGACATAGGGAAAACCTAGGAGCGAGCCCAAGCTGATGAAATGCTAGAGGAAGGACTAGGATAGCAGGAAAACTTAGATACATTTCTAAAAAGGAACAAGATTGATAAGAGGGAGCTAGCATGGAAGAGGTGAAAACTGAATTCTAACATCTACAAAAAAAACCTACAACAAACATCATACTTAATGGTGAAAAACAAGAAGCTTCTCCACTAAAATCAGGAACAAGGCAAGGATATTTCTTCTCAACTGCTTTCCAACACTGTATTGAAAGTCCTAACTAATTCAATAAGGTAAGAAAAGAAAAGAAAATGATATACGTATTTGGAAGGAAGAAATGAAATGGTCTTTGTTTGCAGATTACCTGATTGTCTATGTAGAAAATCTGAAAGATTAAACAAAGCAATTCCTGGAACTAATAAGCAATTATAGCAAGGTTGCAGGATGCAAGGTTAATATACGAAAGTCAATAACTCTCCTATGCACCAATGATGAATAAGTGAAACCTAAAATGCTTAGGTATAAACCTAACAAATTATGTACAATATCTATATCTTAGGCAGTTTAGGCTGCTATAATGGGACACCATAAAATAGGTGGCTTATAAACAACAACAAATTCTTTCTCATAATTTTGGAGGCTGTAAAGTCCAAGATCAAAATGCTGGCAGATTTGCCATCTCATGAGTGCCTGCTTCTTTCTGTATTCTCACCTGATGGAAGGGGGAAGAGAGCTCTTAAGAGTTTCTTTTATGAAGGCCTTAGTCCTATCTTTGAGGGCTTTGCCCTCATCACCTAATCACCTGCTGAAGGATTCACCCCCCAATACCATCATTGTGGGGGTCTTTCAACATATAAATTTTGAGGGGAGGAGTAGCACAAACATTCAGTCTATAACAATTTATATGAAAAAAACTAAAACTCAAACCAAATAAAGAACTAAATTAACAAAGAGATATTCCAAGTTCAGGAATAGAAAGATGCGATATTTTCAAGCTTTAATTTCTTTCCAACTTGATCTATAGATTCAATGAAATCCCAGTCAAATTCCCAGTGAGTTATTTTTTGATATCGACAAAATGATTCTAAAGTTTATATGGAGAGAAAAAAGACCCAGAATAACCAACTCAACATTGAAAGAGAATACCAATGTCTGAGAGCTGCCACTGTCAACTTCAAGACTAAAGCTACAGTCAACAATCAAAATAGTGTAGCACTGGTGAACAAAAGACAAATAGATCAGTTGGATGGAATACAGAGCCAAGAAATAGACTCATATAAATATAGTCACCTAATCTTTGACAAAGACGCAAAGACAAAACAATGGTGCAAAGACAGTATTTTCAACAAACAGTACTGGAGCAACTGGATATCCTAAAGCCAAAACTGAATCTAGACACGGACCTGACACCCTTTTAGAAAACTGACTCAAAATGGACCATAAACCTAGATGTAAAGCATAAAAATATTAAAGTCCTAAAAGATAACATAGGAGAAAACTTAGCTAACTTTAGGTATAGCAATAAATTTTTTAATACACCACCAAAGGCATTATTCATGAAAGAAATAATTTATAAGCTGAACTTTTTTTTTTTTTTTTTTTGAGACAGAGTTTTACTCTGCCGCCCAGGCTGAAGTGCAGTGGCACGATCTCGGCTCACTGCAGCCTCCACCTCCTGGGTTCAAGCGATTCTCCTGCCTCAGCCTCCAGGGTAGCTGGAACTACAGGTGCCCACCACCATGCCTGGCTAATTTTTGTATTTTTAATACAGACGGGTTTTCACCATATTAACCTGATCACCTGATCTCAGGCGATCTGTCCACTTCGGCCTCCCAAAGTACTAGGATTACAGGCGTGAGCCACTGGGCCTGGCCAATAAGCTGAATTTTATTAAAATTAAAAATGTTTATAAAAGGCACTGTCAAGAGTGTGAGAAGACAAATCAAAGACTGAGAAAAACATTTGCACAAGTCATGTCTTTCACGTCTTACAAAGAGCTGTTATCCAAAACATACAAAAAAACTCTTAAAACTAAACAATAAAACATGAACAAACTGAAAAGACCTTAAGAGACATCTTACCAAGGAAAATATAACAGATGGAAAGTGTGTATACAAAAAGTTGCTCAACATCATATGTCATCAGGAAGATGCAAATTAAAACCACAGTGGGATACCACTATACACTACACTATGAGTACACAAAACACTAACACCACCAGATTCTGGAGAGGATGTGGAGCAACAGGAACTTTCGTTTATTGCTGGTGGAAATGCAAAATAGTACAGCCATTTTGAAAGCCAGTTCAGCAGTTCCTTACAAAACTAAATGTACTCTTCCCATGTGATCCAGCAAAGCAGTCACGTTCCTGGCTATCTACACATAAGAGTTGAAAATTTATGTCCACATAATAACCTGCACACAGATGTTTATAGCAGATTTATTCATGACAGCCAAAACTTAGAAGCAACCAAAATGTATTTTAGTACATAAAAAAACAAATAATTTAGGGCATATCCAGAAGAAGGAATATTGTTCAGCACTAAAGAAAAAAAAAGATTGAGCTATTAAGCCATGAAAAGACATCGGGGAAACTTAAATGCATACTACTCAGTAAAGAAGCCATTCTGAAAAGGCTACATACTGACTGATCCCAATTATATGATATTCTACAAAAGGCAAAACTATGGAGATAATAAAAATGTCAGTGGTTGCCCAGGGTTTGGGGGAGAAAAAATAAATAGGCAGAGCCAAAGCATTTTCAGGGCAGTGAAACTACTCTGTATGACACTATAATAATGGATATACATCACTATACATTTGTCCAAATTCACAGAATATAGAACACTAAGAATGAATCTTAATGTAAACTAGGGACTTTTGGTGATGTGTCAATGTAGGCTCATCAATTGCAACAAATGCACCGCTGTGGTGGGGGACTTTGGTAATAAGGGAGGCTGTGCATGTTTGGGAACAGTGGGCCTATGGGAACTCCCTGTACTTTCCACTCAATTACACTGTGAACCTAAGACTTCTTTAAAAATAAAGTATGTTCAAAGACAACAAGAACAACTGAACTCTCACCTGATCCAATAGGATGCAGGGAAAAAAGACAGACCTGTCAAAGTCAAGGGGGACTGTGGTAGGATGTGTCTGACTCACTCTCAGCCCCTAAATTAACATCCCTGGAGGGGTTTTTATTGAAGAATGAGGAACGAGAAGATATAGGAACCATCATTCCAGGTAATGGGGGTGGGAGGGTGACGCCCTCTCCAGCACATTTCCTCTAGAACCCAGAATGAGGATGCTTCCTGAGTTAGCTGCAGGGACATCAGTGAGGGTTTGTGCCATGGAATGGTCCCCAGGATGGGTGTGTGGATCTGACATTCACGGAGCCTGAGTAATTTATGTAGCCTCTCTGAACCTTAGTTTTTTTCATCTACAAAATGAGGCAGCGATGTAATGGTTACCCTGGATTGTTAAGTCAGGAAAACAGAAAAACAGGCAGAATGCTCAGCCTCCTGTCTGGCTAGACCAAGTTCTCAATAAATGGCAGCTAATATGGTTTGGCTGTGTTCCCACCCAGATCTCATCTTGAATTGTAGTTCCTATAATCCCCACATGTGGTGGGAGGGATCAGGTGGAGATAATTGAATCATGGGGGAGGTTTCCACTATCCTGTTCTCATGACAGTGAGTAAGTTCTCATGAGATATGATGGTTTTATAACAGGCTTCCCCCTTTACTCAGCTCTCATTTTTCTTCTCCCTGCTGCCATGTCCACCATGTCCACCATGACTGTAAGTTTTCTGAGACCTCCCCAGCCATGCTGAACTGTCGGTCAATTAAACCTTTTTCATTTATAAATTACCCAGTCTCGAGTATGTCTTTATTAGCAGAGTGAGAATGAACTAATACAGCTGCTTTCATTGTTATCCACCTGCAAGGACAGCAAAAGGAATTTCCCCAACAATCAGAGAGAATCTACAGTCTTTGGGATAGGCCACGTGCCTAGGTGTTGAGAGAGTTTTCTATACAGCTGTCTGCACAGCTCCAGCCTATTCCAAGACTAAACCCCTCATCTTATCAGGACTCTTGTTGTTGAAAAAGCTGATTCCTCTTTGCTTCATCTCAGGCTCCTACTCCTAGATGGCCATCCCCTCTCTGGGACTCCATCTCTTCCAGCCAGGCTTCCCAAATGCTGGCTGCTAACACATGGACTCCTGTTCCCCTTTTCCTGCCTTTCACCTGCCCACAGCTGGCTGACCACAACATGCTCTGGGGATTGCTGTGCTCCCTCTCACTGTGTAAAGCAAGGGCTTGCTACACCCCCATTTCAATCACTTTGAGCAGCAGACACCACGGTTTCTTTCTTTGATTTCTGCCTTGCAGAAACCATGCTATCTGGTTTAATCTTCTCAACAAAATTTTTGAGATTAGTAGTGTTTTTTCCATTGTAGAGATATGAAACAGAATTTAGAAAAGTAGGAGACTTGTCTAGAACCACAAATTCTGTAAAGAGCAGACACAGAATTTGAACCAACTGTATCTGTTAAGCCCGTGTTGTGCCTGCAGTGGCGAGATGCAGTACACATGATCTACCCTCCAGTGTCTAGCATCCTCCAGTAGTCACTGCTGACTCCTGACCCTTAGAGGGAGACTCCAGAGAAAGCACTTTGTACACAACAGACCCCCCAAGCATGCTGGCCTAAGGAGCTCTCTCAGGTGGCCTATGTCAAGTTCAAAAAAGGAGAAAAGCAAAGACAAGAAACAGTTGCTATGAAATATCTCCCTTTGGTTTCTAACGACATGTCTATTAGCAATCATCCTGGTAGTAATTGATCATAAAATCCAATTGTTGGCTGGCCCCATGCACCTCATATCATAATGACAACACTGGGAAAATGACCAACAGCGTACTTCTGCCAGCCCTGTAAATCCATTCTGTATTTCCAGAGTAAGAACATCCCATAAAAGGCGGGAACTGTAAAAGCTCATGAGGAAGAAATAAACATGTAACAATAGAACACAGATGGACAGTTGTGCTGGGAAGCAGCTGCACAGGGAAAGAAGAGAATTGAGCTCTCGGGTTGTTTTTGGAAGAGCCGAGTACACATCTTGAACTTCCACGCCTGTCTCCAACCCAGGTCTGAGATGGTGTCTTATGTTTCCCAGGGGTTTAAAAATGCAGTGAGAAAAGACTTGGCATATATCTTAGCAACCATGTGGGCTTGGGAACCAGGCAAAGTTGCAGCTCTGCACTTACCAGCTGATGCACCTTGCTCAAGTCACCACCCCTTCCTGTGTCTCAGTTTTCTGGTCTGTAAACTGGTTGTGATACTTCATTATGGTGAAACCTCATTAGGCAGTACTGTCGATGCTGCACAGATCTTTGTCACTGAAAAGTTGCATGTATCCTATAACTGTCACTTTACTTATGCCATGCAACAACCTAAAGAAAGGAAGAAAACGTCTAGCAGCAGAACCGCGACTTTCTAGTACCCAGAGCTGGCGCAGGGGAGGTCAGAGCCAGATGGGGGGCATGGCTCATCCTGGCCCCAGAATCCAGTCTTGGGGAAGCATGTAAACAGGGAGGCTGCAGAAAGACACTATCTGTGCAAGCGGGCAGTGTACCTGTGTCCACAGCACAGGCAGCACGTGAGAGCAGAGCCCCCCAAAAAGAGCGCTGCCCATGGAGGGCTGTGAGCAGATGGACTCTAATGACACCATCCCGTTTCCAAGGTTGAACCCTATGGGAGGACAGACTCTTGCAGCCCATAAAGATCAAGTCATCTGACCAATAAATAAATAAATAAATAAAAGGGAAAAAAAAAAAAACCAAGATGGAAACCTAGATCCACAACGGGAAAGTGACTTGTGCAGGGAACCTGTGGTGCCCAGTGTGGGTGGCAACTCTTCCCTCATCCATGCAGCTTGGCCCTACCTTGATCATCGTCCTTTTTAGCATGAATTTATCAATTGCCCAGTATTTTCAATGGACTATAGAGGGTACAGAGAAAAGAAAAGTGAGAAATGGCATCTATATTCAAAAGATGCTGCAGAGACAGCTCCCCACGCCCAGCCTGCCTTGAGAAAAAGAAGCCACAAGAAAACTCATGCTTACAGCACAGACTAGGTGTTGAAGGCAGGTGGTGCAGAAACTTAGGAGGAGCGGCACTGAAGACTAAGGAGGTCCAGAGACCATAGAAAAGTTATTGGGAGAAGGAAGGACTTGAGCCGGTATTTGAGGAACATTGTTAAGGTCTAGACTGACAGATTAAGGGAGGAAGATCACCTCGGACAAACAGCCGACAGGAGTCTCTGCCCCTTGGAAGCAGCTCTAGCAGGCTGTTGTGTAATGGAAATGCTGACTTTCACTTATACAGTACATTTCTATAAAATTATCAATACGAGAAGCTGTCTAAAAAGGAGTGAGGTATTTTTTCATCAGTGAAGAGGCTGGTTGCATGTGCTATTTCTTCCTAGAAAGCAGGAACTGGGTCCAGAATTGGTCTGGCTTCAGAAAACAAAAAAGCCGTTGCCAAGTCTAGGGTTTGTACAGCTCTCCAGTGGAGTTATGAAAAGCCCGGTTAGAACATAAAGAACGGTCTGTTCTGTGGGAGGCAATACAGCTTCACCGAGGGGAGAGGGAAAGTAAGCCTGTATCAGTCATATTTCCATCCCTGGGAGACCATTAGGAGAAATTCAATTAAAACCCATGACTTCTACCAAATCTCTATGGCCAGTTTGAAGAGACTAATTCTTAGAAAAAGCTGACTCCAGCATTATCTGTCTTTAGCTGAGCTGTTATGAAAAGAATATAAGAGTAACAAAAAAAATGGTATGTGCTTTTATTAAAACAAAACATAACAACAACATAATGCTGTTGCAGAAACTTGGAGATGCTGCAAATGTAGGTCTGTTCTGCTTGTTGGCTTTACCTCTCTCTCGTTCCTTCCTTCTTCCTCCTCATTCTTCATCTTTCTTCCTCATTCTAAGCAGAACATTTACAAAATTCAGGCTTTCTGTAGGGTGAAGAGCTGAGCTTCAGTTCTTCTCTGGGGCAGAATATTAGCAAGGACAGTGAGCTTAGTTTTGACTGATTCTGGCATCTTCACAAAGCAAAAACCAAAGTATTGACGTAAGAAAACTGGATTGGGAGTTGGGAAAGGTTATGACTTAATGATAAAGGAATTAAAGAGACACATTGGCATTATTTTTTTCTCCTGACACCTGCACAATGCCAAAAGATAAATCAGAACAGAAAACATTAAAATTGGAAAGGAACTTAGAGACCACCTAGTCAAGGGATGACAGATTCCACAGCCAGTACCATCTCTAAGGTATTGGCATTGATAATCGCTTCTCTCTGGAACTTTGTGTTGAGTAGGATTCTGAGGCTCAAGTTAAACTCACCAGGATTGACTCTTCTGATCAGAGAGCAATGCCTAGTCTTAGAGAACAGAAGAGGCAGGGTCCGCATCTGGTATTAGCATTCTTTATTTAGTTCAACAAAGTCACATGGAGACAATATGTTACATCCTGACTTTAAACATTAGTTCAGAGAAGAAAAGTTGCTGAGATCCCTGCTGCAGTTATCCACGACTACATAACAAACCACTACCAAACTTTGCGTCCTAACAACAGTGATTTATTATTTTGCACAGCCTTGTGGATAATGAGCTTAGGGTGCAGGTTGGGGAGACTGGTGGTTCTCACATGATAACTCAGAGCTCCCAAGAAAGCAAATGTGGAAGCATCTAGACCTCTTAAGGCCCTGTCTAGAATTGTCTGGGCAGCATTTTCATCACATTCCACTGGTAAAGGTGTTCTTACCTTGTATGTGCCTGCAGGGATGAGAGAATTTTGGCCATCTTTGCAGATAATCCACCACAGTCCCTCCATGCTGCCTTCATGCAGCAGGTAGGTGAGTACTCCACAGGCTTTGCCACCCAGAACAGGGAAGCCAAACTGTCAATCTCAAGTCCCTAATCTGTGACCTGCTTATAATTCTTACTCCACAGTTATCATGGTGAAGACCAACGAGATGATGAACATGTAGCACATATCTGTATCACGAGAATTCCACGAGAAGAGCTCAAACTTTTATCATTTCATTTATGCCTGTTAGCATGAAAAAAGAGGCTGAGAAGGGAAGATGGTGACAAGGAATTGCTAAGCAGCAGGTCACATGGGTCACCCAGCGTGGACCGGCCTGAACACAGCTTCCATGTCCCCACTCTTGCCAATGTTCTCATGTGGACACAGCTGGCTTTGTTACATCAGAATGAAGGCCTCCCTTATGATGGCTCAGTGTTTCCATAGAAATGTCCAAGGAACATGATTATAGAGTCAGTCCATTCATTAACACAGAGGGTTAGGGGTTGGGAAAATCATCTAATCCAACAGCCTTATTTTGAAAATGAAGTTTCCAAGCCCTAGACGTTCATGGAAGCTCATGAAAGGCTCCTAATCACAGTGCCCTTTCCGCGGTAACATGGGCTCCTTATTTAGTTCCATTCAGAAAACCTGAAGAGAGGCCTCCCTGGCCAACGGTAGTGGGGATTAGAAGCAGTCCGTTTCTGTTAATATTTATATTCTATTTTAATAAAGCCTGGCTTCTTACAATCAAGTGCAACCTAATTTGTCCAGAGCCGACACTCCCGAGTGTACAGAATCCCCATTTGATTTTGCTGTTTGGAACGTTATCCACTCAATGGTTTCTCTAAACAACAGTGAAAGTCCCCATCCACCATGAACCTGCAGAGCATAACTGGATATTTTCTGGCCAGTTGGCTCATTGCCTACAGCAGAAATCTTCAAGCAGAAGCTACTGAAACAAGGACACTAATTTGCTAAGCCAGGAAGTTTTTCAAAGTCCATGATCCAGAAACACCAAAAATAGAAAAACCAACACAAAAATAAACAAATAGAAAAGTGGCCCATGCCTGTAATCCCAGCACTTTGTGAAGCCAAGGTGGGTAGATCACCTGAGGTCAGGAGTTTGAGGCTAGCTTGGTCAACATGGTGAAACCCTGTCTCTACTAAAAATATTTAAAAAATTAGCCAGGCGTGGTGGCGGGTGCCTGTAATCCCAGATACTCAGGAGACTGAGGCAGGAGAATTTCTCAAACCCGGGAGGCAGAGGTTGCAATGAGCCCAGATGGTGCCACTGCACGCCAGCCTGGGCATCAAGAGCGAGACTCCATCTCAAAAAAAAAAAAAAAAAAAAAAAAAGCCAGAGATTTTCTTAGATAAGTATGTGGAAGGATCCCAACATCTAAATGTTTCTACATCATGAGATGAAAGGAAATTAATGATGATCTCTTTTTTTTTCTTTTTTTTTTTTTTTCCAGATGAAGTCTTGCTCTTGTTCCCCAGGCTGGAGTGCAATGCTGCCATCTCGGCTCACCACAACCTCCGCCTCCTGGGTTCAAGCAATTCTCCTACCTCAGCCTCCCGAGTAGCTGGGATTACAGGTGTCCGCCACCACGCCCAGCTAATTTTTGTATTTTTAGTAGAGACAGGGTTTCATCTTGTTGGCCAGGCTGGTCTCGAACTCCTGACCTCAGGTGATCTGCCCGCCTCGGCCTCCCAAAGTGCTAGGATTACAGGTGTGAGCCACCGTGCCCAGCTGATGATCTCTTTATAGTAATTTCTGACATACGTATATCTTCAGGGTTGACATACAGATTATGCTTTTCATTCACACAACTTTCAGGTTAAGTCTGACTGGTGTTACTACCCACACACCATAGAGGAGGAAAGGTAGGCTCAAAAAAACTGACTTGCCCAAAACAAGTTAGATGGTGGGACACAAGATAGAAAGTGGGGAAGTCAAGACTGAAGCACCCACCTCCTGGCTCCATCACAGCCATGTGTGCTGATATCTGGGCAGCTAAACGTAGAGTGCTGGAGCCCACATGGGGTGTATGGCTGGGGAATTTTAGCTTTACTCTCATTTCTAGCATCTATGTTGGAAAAGCATTTTGTGTTTTATGCTTTTATTGTATATTCAGCCAGTCAAGAGTCATAGTCTATTTCATTCAGGCTTATGCCACTCACTAATGTCAGTAGAAGCCTATTCGTTTCTTAGAAATTGTAGTGGAAGATGTAGAAAGTACACTTGTCAAATTTGGGCATGATTCATCTGTGAGAGGAACCTTGTGCATGCAAACTCAGTAACAGCGTTCACAAAAATCTGGACAGGCTTGAAAGACAGGCTGAAAATAACATTGCAGCAGGAGGAAATGTAATGGTATGAACCTGAATTCAGAAGGCAACTGCCTAAAGGTGGACTAAATAGGTTTAATAGAAATTGCTTTAAAAACAACCAGGAAGGATGGTTAGCATTAGTTAGCTTTGCAGTCTGCATGAGCTTATGGTATGAAGGGTGAGTCAGAAGGTTATAGCCCCTTAAGCCACAGTAAGAGAGTTTGGGTGTTCTGAATGAGGGGGACACATCTGCTTTCTCACTGTTGGATGCAGCAGCGCTTTTGACTCATTTGTGCAGAAGAAAGCCCTGGGAACTGAGCTGTATTTGAAGAATGAACGAAGGATCTGTTAACATTTAGCCCAAAGAAGAAAGGATACATTAGATAAGACTGAATGGATGTTTTCAGATCATGGAAACATTTCCAACCTAGACAGTCAACTGATGAAGGACTCGGGAGCCAGGTACTCAAGCAAGTGGAGGAGGCCCCCACGCTGGGCATATAAGTCGAGTAATTCAGGGTCCTGAGCTCACGGACAAGCTACAACGCCGCTCCCAACTCCTGACTCCAAAATCAGAACCCATGACTCTCTGAAAGAGATATCATGGAAGCAATTGAGAAGGTAATTGGTTTCAGAAAGTTTCAAAAAGCAAAGCACAACAACTAAACAGTGCTGATTGAAATTAGCTGAGCACATACACATGTTTCAACCCAGAAAAGCAATTCCACTTTAAGTACTTCATGTCAGTAAAGCACTACCTCTGATCTGGTAAAATAACACTCCTGATATCCCATGACTCCATGCGTGACTACATTTTGCATTCCTTGCACAGACAGATTTTCATACTGACTAGACAGGGATTATGAGCTGTGTGTCAACTCCTTGCCGTTGAATTGGTTTCTGCATTTCTGTGGAACATACTCTAAAATTCATGAGATTGGAGATGCTCTCTGTACAGGCTCATGTAGGCAGTGACAGACACCCTTAATTTGTAAGCATTAGCAGAATGAGATGCAGTTGCAGAAAGTGTAATTGGATCATCTTTGTATCTTATGTCAGCGTGTCTAAGTACTGCTAAAGAATGCACCACGTGCTCGGCGCCTCCGACAACACAGAGGGGTTGTTGTAGGCATGACAAATAATAGCAGAATCAGCTTCTTACTGTTATATTTGGAGTGTGGTGTGTGTGTATGTGTGTGTGTGAGAGAGAGAGGTAGAGCATGCACACTGGCTTTTCCAAGGCACTAGTCATTAAGTAGGAGAGCTTTAAGATCTGCGGAGAAGCATAATGGCTTTCAAACCTTTCTGACATTAAAATGTTCTATAATCACCTTCCATTAGTAAAACCAGAAAAAGCCTGGCTTTGGTATAAAGCACAAAATTCATTTGCCTTCCTCCCCCAGCCCTTCATGTCCTTGTGCCTAAAATATTCCAGGCTGTTGAGCTTTCAAGAGAAGAAATCAGTGTACTTTTTCTGTCCTAGAAAAAAAGGCCCAGGTTTTATGACTGACCGTGTTTGGAAGACAGATACATTTTTTACAATTAAGTTACATAATTAAGACTAAAGGAAAAGGAAACCAACCCCACCTTCCCAGCTCACTTTATATGTAAGAAAATTGGGTCCATTCTTTCTTGCTTATGCCAAAATGCACCTAGAATTCAAATTCAGTTCTGACCACCAGATGGTAAGGGAAAATTAAACAGGCTAGCATTTGAGAGACAGCTTATAGATCTGGAGACATTTAGCATGGATGAAAAAAACAGAAGCTAGAAACAATAGCAGTCTTCATGGACCTAGGAGATCACCCAATAGAGAAGAGGATGGGCTAGTTCTCTGTGGTTTTAAAGAACAGACGGAGAGCCAATAGATATTGTTTTCAGGAAAGCATATCCTCGCTAAACATCCTCTTGCTCAAAGTTCTTGAAAGTCTTTCCATTAAATAACACTGGTTCCCTGTTGCCAGCCCCAGGATATTCTCTCTGGAAAAAAAAAATAGTGATCAAACCGGTTTGGTATGGTTGCAAAACATATCTCCTTGCTTTAGAGATTACAACATGCATATTTAAAGATGTAGGAAGATGCTAAGCAACTATATAGTAAAGCAAACAATTAGACTTTATTTAACCCGGTGTTTTTCAACTGCTCCTATAACCTTGTTGACACCTTTCTATCAATATTTCTTTGATCTCGTGTTATAATAAACACACTTTTGGACACTTTGAATTACAGGAAAAGAGCCAGAATTCTTTATTCTGGTATTTGAAATTCCAGAAGCTCCAGTCCTGACCTTCTGAACATGATTTCTTGCAATGTTCTGTGATTCCCAACTTTCATAGCTTGTTGTTCACCTGCCCTCCACCTGGAATCATGGCACATTAGGCTGCACCTTGATAGCTCCACAGGCACCAACCCAATGCCATTTCTTCACTCAACCAACAAGTATTGTGCATTTAATTCTTAGGCTCAGAGAGGCTAGGTAATTTCCCCAGGTTCACATAATTAGCTTGGGGTTTGTCTAACCCCAACATCCAAGAAGTTTCCAGTGTGCCTGTCTCCCCACGAAGGAGGGGTGGGCTTCAAAGGCCCACATCATCACCAGTTGCCTCCCACACAGGGCCATGTAGAAGGTACTCACTGTGGGCTTTCTTAAATAGTCGAGCCTCCTGAAGTTTCCAGAGTACAGTCCAGAGTCGAGTACAGGCCCGGCAGCATGTAATGGAAGCTGAATGTGTTCATCCACCTGCTACAGAGATGTAGTCCTTATAGTAGAACACCACAAGTCCTGCGGACCTTGAAGAAGTCAACTGCCATGCTACAAGTGGCCTAGGAAATGGGCCACCTGGAAGGGGGCTGTAAGCAACCCTAGCATCTCAGCCCCTGCACCTCAGAACTGCAGCCTCAGTTTCTCCTTTTACAGGTAAGGAAATGATACCCAGAATGCTTCAGTCATTTGAGTAGCATTGCCATACTTATAGGTAACTGAGTAAGAGAACCAGACTCCTGAGCTCCAATAACTCCAACATCATGCAGAGATAGGAAGGCATAATGTCTAGTCTCCAGGCACATAATAATACAGCGAGGAAACAGACAGCCTGCCTCGGATCAGGATAGTATAGACAACTGAGGCCCAGATAGAGGTTGGAGAAAGATTACAAAACTATACTATTAGAAGAAAATATAAAGGACCTTAGCTTTTGAATATTTGGGGAACAAAAGATGTCTCTTCAAATAATTGCTGGCATGTCTAACAGAAGAAATCAGTTTTGCATTCTCCTAAGCAGCAACAACTGTGGCCTTTTAGGAAGCACTTTTGGTCTCATGTCAACACAAGAAAACACTTCTGATTTCTAATCCAAGGACACACAGCTACCAAATAGGAGAGCAGGAATTCCAGCCAATCACTGTGACTCCAGAGGTTATGCCGTTAACTACAAAGCTACCTGCCTGGACACTCATAAACATTAAGTAAAATAATATCAGTCAAGTGTTAAAGCAGAGTGTACCACATTCGTTTGCTTTATAAATAAAAGCTCTCATTAGTTTTAAACAGGCAAGATTCTAGAATTTTGAAGAAGAAAGCTCAACATACCAGGAGTACTTCATTCATTTATTCATTTTGGGTCACCCTTGAGGTTCCAGGCAAGCACGGCCCCAGGTATTGCAGAGAGTGGTATACGAACCTCCTGAAGCTTATATGATTTCCGAGAAGATAACTCTCACTTGAATTCTGACATACTAAGAAATATACGATGCTGAAAAACTTTAAGGAAGCTTAAATAAATAGTTATTAGGGAGCATGATCAGCCTAAAGGAGTTGAGTTAATCTGGATGTGATGGCTAGGTAATCAAATGAGGATCAGAAAACCCAGAGACCCCAGGGCAGCTCTGGAACTGCTTGGCATGTGACAGATAGTAAATGCCTTTGGTGACATTGGATTGCAAAGGCGAAAAATTACTCTGCTAATCATGTGTTGGATGGGTTGTCTGACCTGTAACTCTCAAGGTAAAAAACTTTAAATTCTAAAATTAAATATATATTTTTACTAGTCTTCAGGAATAGTAGCTAATTCTTCAATCTTCCTGCATAGAGCACTTTCTGATTTACAAAGAAAAGCCCTTCGAGGGAAGATGGGGAGTCCAGAGATCATTCTGGCACAAATCTCCGTCTTTCTGGAAGCCAAATTGCCTAACTACTCTGGTCATAGGTCCTGGCTGTCCCCAAGGAAAGATGAGATTTTATGGCTGCGGGTAGTTAAATAATGAGCCACTGAGCTTGAAGACATTTTGTTTTATTTTCTCTGTCAGGACTGTAAAAGCTTTGTAAACTTCTCCTTTGCTGTCTTGTATATACTCTATCCATATGGAGCTCATTGTGGTTCTCTAAACACAGCACCCTCTGTGCTCACTCCTCAAAGGCTTTATAGCTTATTCTTTCTGCTTACAATGCCCTCTGGGCACCCTTTTCCTGCTTAACTGTTACTTTTCTCCGACTCTCAATTCCAAGGTTCTCTCCCAGGAACTCCTCTCTGACATTCCCCGTCTCCTCCTTAGGCACGATGCTCCTCCATGGACTGTAGTTCTCAGGGTGGCCCTCACGCTGGGTTACACTCACTTGTCTGTCTGTCTCCCCCTCCAGACTGTGAGCAAGGCAGGAGAACAGCATGCCTTTGATGTCTGTGACTTCTGCACCTAGTTCACGGTGTATGCATGTGACATACACATAAAGTCACAGCTCAGAATCAATCAGGAGATGTGGGGATTTGTGTGTGCCACCCAGGAATGTCTGTTGCAGCATCCAAATAACATGATCTCAAGGAAAAGGATCGCTTTGAGAATCCACAGAAATGAGCAGACATTCGAGAATGTGGACACTTCACATCTGTTGCTGAACTGATGGAGAAGCCTCAGCCCCAGCTCCAGAACTGCTTTGAATTGTGCAAAACCATGTTGATGATTCCGTTTATAATTCACTAAGCACCTGATACACATCGAGCATAGCCCTGAAATCTCTTTCAGCAGTTATTTCCATCTTGGAAGAAGCAGCACTTTTGGCCGAGACATCCTACATTGGACAGGGCTGTCGCCTATGGGCCGGAACGTGTCACTGGTCCTGGGGCTCAGTCCCCATTTCTAGGAGATATCAGAGCATAACAATATCCTAATGAATTGTTTAACTTGAAAAATTTTAGAAAACAATCTTAATGGTGCATTGAGTCCCTTTCATTGTCTTGATTGGCTAGTTATAAGTGGATTTCAATATGCATTTAATCAAAATACCCAGCTGCATTCATTTAAAAATGCAGCCCACAAAAAGCATCTAAGTGGGCCCCTTACCTCCCTGCTAAGAAAATGGAGGAGAGATTTCACCAGAATTGAATTTGGCAGAAAACTGAAAGCCCCTGAAATCAGCTCTCTGGGATACACATTTTAGCTTTGTCTTTATTGGAGCAAAGACAGCTAATAAATGAGTGTGTTCTCATGAATGAGAGACAAGCCCGAGGGAGAAGGGCTGGCAACAGACATCAGAACTTACTCACCTCAAGTGCCTGTGAGACTGTGTCCACAGCAAACCCTCAAAGCTGACTCGAACATAGTCAGGGAGCGTGGTTGCTCTCTGTTCAGAAGTAGCAAGGTTTACCAGACAAAGTTTCGGTTTTGAAGTCAGACTTCTGAGCTAGGTGGCCACAGTAAATTATTAATTTTCTCAGGACATCGTCATCCTGTTTAAAGTATAGATAGCAAAGTCTGCTGCATAAAGTTTGCTGAGGTTGAGTTCTTTTCCCTCAAATTCATATGTTGAAATCCTGTTCATATGTTGAAGTCCCCCAGGACCTCAGACTGAATTATTTGGAAACAAGTGCATTGCAGATGTAATTAGTTAAAATGAGGTTATAGTGAAAAAGAGTAGGTCTCTAATTCAATATAGATGGTGACCTTCTGAAATTGGAGACTGTGGACACAGACACCCATACAGGGAGAACATGATGTGAAGATGAAGGGAGAGATTAAGGAGATGAGTCCACAAGTGGAGAAATGACAAAAGATTTCCAGAAAACCATGAGAAGCCAGGAGAAAGCCCTGGAACCGATTTTCACTCGTAGCCCTCAGGGGGAACCAACCCTGCTGACACCTTGATCTTGGAATTCCAGCCCCCAGAACTGTGAGACAGTAGCTTTCTGTTGTTTCAGGCACACCTCTTGTGATGTTTCACTATTGAAGCCCCAGGAAATCAATCCAGGGTCATTCTAATGATGAATGAGATGCTGCCTGCAGGAGCTCCGGGCACTGGGACCAGGGCAGAAGAGGTGTGGACAGAGGTCAGGTCCCTGCCTTGTTGTTCTGGCCAACACAGGCTCATGTATGGAAAACAGGGAAGGTGAGGAGACTGCAGCTGGAGCAAGTCTAGTATTCATGCATGCGAAGTAAATGATGAAGCACTCCACAAACATTCATTGAACCCTTGTATTGGCTTATGTAGCTGGTTGACTGAAAAATCAGTCCTCCTTTTTTGGTAAGAAACTCTCTGATGACAGCATGTAATCTTCATCAGGTCTTCATAATTCCAGAAAATGTCTTAAAAATTGCTTTTATTTGAGCTGATGGGCCTTGTCCTGGGTTGGGGCACTAGGAATCCTCCAGCACACAGGAAGGCTGCCTGCACAGGTCTCCTTGTATCTGCACAGCTGGCCACCCAGGAGCCGATGCAATTCCAGGTGAGTGAAGAAGCCTGTGGATATAAAGGATGGAGACAGACTCCAATCCTTTCCATTTTCCGGTTGGATGTTATTAGTAGCGTTTGATAGAAGAGGAGGCCCTGACAAAGGCCTCCAGCAGGAAAGAACATGGAGACCCCAAAGCATAAAACACCATGAGTGAAGGGAGCCTGGGGCAGGTGACCAGGGCTTGTCACTTTATTGGCAGGAGCTCTGGATCCTGCACGCAAGCAGCAGAGGAGACCGAAGCCCTCCCCTGCCCAGCGTGATGGGTCTGTCTGAGGATGACCGCTGGGGCTTCACCTTCACGGAGCAGTCACATGAGCAAGGCCCCGTGAATGATTTCCCTTATGATTCTACTGTAACCCGATGGGACAGACATAAGCTGAAGACCAGGGCCTGGCAAAAAACTGATTCCCCTTCTAGAAATTCTGCTATTTTTGCCAAAGAATGGCAATGAGGACACAGAGTTTTGCTTCTTCCTCTATCCTGGCAGCTTCTGCGTCTGCCCCTTTACCAGCATTTTCCTGGCAGCGTCAGGGACCTGCTGATTAACATGCCCTCTGTTTATGGCCCCCTATTCCTGTGTGTGTGACACCCCTTCATCTCCAATGAGTTCTAGGCATGTGGGCAGTTGCCTTTTAGGCATTCTGAAAATACAAAGCAAAATCATTGGGAATGGGAATACATTTTAATCCAGCAATTGTACACAGAGACATTCATTATGGTAGACTTTAAAAGAGCAAAAAGTAAAAAGGAAGTAAGCTACCTGTTCAGCATTGGGAAATTGCCTACATTAAGAATGTACAGTGCACTAAAATACAATGCTGCCATTCGAGGGGATGTTGTGGACAAGGGTCAGCTGACAACAGCTGGCTGCCATTGTGTGTGGCTTGCAAGCTGTGGGTTTTATACTTTCCAATGGTTGAAAAAAAATTAAAAGAAGAATAATACATGACATTATATGAAAATTATACAAAATTCAAATTACAGTGCCCATAGATAAACTTTTATCGGAACACAGCCATGCTTGATCTTTTATGTGGCATCTATGGCCCTTTTTATACTACAACAGCAGCATTTGAGTAGTTGAAACACAGCCTGAAATATTTCCTATTTGGCCCGTTACAGAAAAGGTTAGCTGACCTGTATGGAAGAAGAATCATCGCATGAAAAATAACATGTTCAATGAAAAAGTACGTAGAAAAACAGTATGTGTCGTAAGATGCATGTTTGAAAATGTAGTCCATGCAGGGTCCAGGGCGAAGTATTTGGAAAGAAACTTTGCTGTGTAATCACTGTGTAGTCACTAGACTGTGGGAGTACTGGTTACTTAGTTGTTATTAGTATTACTGTTTGTGTTATTCTGCTTACCTGTATTTTCTAAATTTTCTATAATTAATATATATTTTTAAAATAAGATGAAAACTTACTATAAAAAAAGTCACTTCCTTACACGAAGGTTAGAGAGCTCTGTCTTTCACTCTTTCATACCTGTTTTGAGACTCTTCTTGGGCATGGGAGGAAGAGTTTGTCGTGAGAAACAGTGACGGCCGTGTACGTTCATTCCATCTCTGTCATTCCTTAAATGATCTGGCCATGGGGTGCCATATAGACGTGGGCCAATATTCTTGGAAACATATAAAAGTTATGTAAGTTTTTGTAACATTTTAGGCAGTACAAAATGTAAAGTAGCCAGTTTAAAAATATTTAGTGATATAGTTTTATAAAAGTTTTATATAAAAACAAACTGGGTCAGTCAAGTGAACAAGCACCGAGAGGCTGCTTGTGGACACCACACATATCAGAGCCCATGTGAGGGCGCCTCACAGAGGACTCCAGCCCCATTCAGTCTCTCAGAGGCCCTGGCGCCACTCCAGACCCCTAGCTTCATCTGGCACCAGGTTGTTAATTAATTGTTTTAAGAAAATATCTAAAGTGAGTTTCTCTGCTAATTCGATAAAATATAGTCAAGAACACATTTTTTAAATTTTGAACTTCATAATGAGAGACCCCTTTTAAGTCACAGTTCATGCTAAAACCACTGGAGATTTTAACCTACACCCTTTCAAGCTGATTTCAGAAAACTTAAGTAAAACGTTACATAACTTTACATGCCAAATTTCTCCTTATTGTAAGGTAAAGAGTAATGACTACCCCCTCTCAGAGCGCTGCCCACAGCGGACAGGCTCAGCTTCACTCTGCGCTGGACTGCTTAAGAGGGTGAGCTGCTTAAGAAGCTGGGCTGTGCCTCCATCTCCCCCATGGCAGGTGGATCAGCTTCGGATTGTGGGAATCAGTGCGATGGCATTATGGAATACCATAAGCCCCCCGACGGCTAGATCTGCAACTCAAGTTTCCCATGCTACATGGGCCCCATATATCTGATGTGTCACTGAGAGCCTTTAGTCCAATTTGTTCACTGAAGGACTTGAAAACTCCAAATGCATGTGTATCTTAGACATTTTTTCTTCTTTCCAGGTGGTCTATTTTCTACCCTTGATAACATGGTGAAACCCCATCTGCACTAAAAATACAAAAAATTAGCTGGGCATGGTGGCACGTGCCTGTCGTCCCAGCTATTCTGGAGGCTGAGGCAGGAAAATCGCTTGAACCAAGGAGGTGGAGCTTGCAGTGAGCCGAAATGGCACCACTGCACTCCAGCCTGGGTGACAGAGCGAGACTCTGTCTCGAAGAAAAAAAAAAAAATTAAGCCTCAACTGCCGAACCAGTTTGAGAGAGCACAGAGAAACATATGTGAATTAAAACAAGGTGCTCTGTGTAGGAGGGCTATCCCCAGGGCAGGACACACGTCATCCCATAGCAGCCATCACATTTCAATGTCAAAATCAATCTCCAGTCCTCAGCCCCTTCCTCTATTCCTCTTGCATCCGTTACGAGCACACTAGATGAAGCATGCAGGCATTGTTCATCTTTGTCAGCTGCTGGTGGCCATTGTGCAGAGGACTTCACAGAGACAGGGAGAAGGACTTGGGGAGATGAGCTCCCTTTGGAAATCAAGATTAAAGTGTGAGGTCACACCTCATTTCATTATGTTCTTTTTTCTTTTTCTTTTTCTTTTTCTTTATTTTTTTTAAGATGGAGTCTTGCTCTGTTGCCCAGGCTGGAGGGTAGTGGCGCGATTTCAGCTCACTGCAAGCTCCGCCTCCTGGGATCACGCCTTTCTCTTGCCTCAGCCTCCCGAGTAGCTGGGACTACAGGCGCCCGCCACCATGCCTGGCTACTTTCTTTTTGTATTTTTGTAGAGACAGGGTTTCACCGTGTTAGCCAGGATGGTCTCGATCTCCTGACCTCGTGATCCGCCTGCCTCGGCCTCCCAAAGTGCTGGGATTACAGGCGTGAGCCACCGCACCTGGCCTCATTATGTTCTTTTTATAGGAATCTAGTGAGGCCTCTTTCTGATCTTGCAGCAGAGTTCCTGTTCTTTTGAAAGCCTCCTCTGTCTGCTCCTAATTCATCAATGGCTCCATGCAGACCCCAAAGAATTCCCATACCTGTAACACACTCAGCACATCCTTAGCAGAACATCTGTCTGGGTCACTTTTATTCCTTAAAAAGAGACTATGAGATGATGCTGTTCATGACGCCCGGCAAGGATTTATAACCTGATTAATCCTAATGATTCTTAAAGCATCCTAGGTCTAGAAACATTGACAAAACTCCTTGTAATACAATTACAAACAAAACCAAGTTAGCATCCTCTGAGCAGGATCCCTCTTGGATGCTGCTGAGAGGAATGCTCATGATGCTCTCTCACGAGCTTCTTAAACGGGGCCAAGTGGGCCAGAGCGAGATGTAATGTGGCCAAGGAGAAGTCTCCATTTAGGATTCCCTTGAGACAGTCTTTTTCAGACACAGCCCTAAAAAAGAAAAAGACGTCTTGCCACCTTACAGACACCTGGATGGGGAAAGGAGTAGCCCTGGCTTTAGCCAGGTTTGGAAGGGGTCAGATCTCAGAGGAGCAAAGTTAGTTCCCTTCCAATTGCCCTGAAGGAGAGGAGGGAGGAAATTTTATCAGGGGAAGAACCACACCCTTGGAGGTCACTATCAGATGTTCGACTGATTTGATTTCTGACAGCCATATTGCTCACAACCCAATGGGCTTTGAGAAAGCATGTTTCACTCATTAGAGAGGATATTGCTTTATAGACACTAAATAATGACATTCTATATATTGCATAACACCAGGTGAATGAAACAAGGAATGTGAAATAATTTGAATGGTGTTGGAAAGACACACGGATATTAAAGAAATAAAAAAGTGAATACCAAGACATCTCTCCATTCTGGATGGAATTATTATAATAATCATCCGCTCCACTCTTTGGGGAACCAAAGCTCTGACAAGTGCTGATTTCATCAATTACTGACTTGCAACCCCGGGCATGGCACTTCCTGCTCGTAAATTAAACTTTTTCATTTGCATCAAGAGATATAGTCAGCATAAACTTAATAGTATTGTTGTGAGGTTGAAATGAGAAAGAATATAGATGTTAAACATTTCACACTCTACCAGGTACAGAGGATTAACTGTAGTTAACTTTATTATCACCAATTCTTAAAACAATTTACAAGATATTATGAAGTTCAATTTATAGATTAGAAAACAATGTCAGAAAGGTTATGCAATTTTTCCAAGGCAACACAGATAACAAATGGAGAAGCTGGGATTCAAGTCTATTTCTTTCAGTTGCCAAAGTTCATATTCCTTCTAGCCCATTGCTTTTCCAACTTCAATGTGCACGCAAATTACCTAGAGATCTTGTTAAAATGCAGGTTCTGATTTGGAGAACTGGGGTGGGGCCTAAGATTCCATGTTTCTGATAAGTTACCGGGGAGGCCAACACTACCAGCCTGTGGAGCTACACTTTTGAGTAGTGACTTTCCAGAACATTTTGCATTCTTATTAAGCATGCTGCCTGAAAAAGGTAAATGGTAGAGCAGACATTGAAGTGGATTTAAAAGAAGGGAGAAAAGAATAAGAAGGAGGAGAAGGAGAAGGAGATGAAGGAGAAGGAGGAAGGACAGAAGAAACAGTCATGTCAGAATGAATGCTGGTGCCGGAGAAGGGGAGAAAACATCTTTCTCATCTCCATATCCAGGGCCAGGATGTTCATTTAGCAGCTTACACATTCTGGGCATTTTACACATTTGTCAAAATACTATACGAAATCAGAAAATTCTGCCTTAGTCTCTCTGCTGTCAAAGATTGCAAAGGTAGTTCTTTTCCTCTCTCAGTCTCCAGCACCCCAGCTTCTGGAAGAACAGCCAAGCTTCCATTATGAGGTCACTGGCCCAGGGCAGAATGACAAGCAGTAGCTACTCTTAAAGCTGTGATCTTAGGCATTCGCTTTGTAGTAAGATAAACGTGGGGCTCATGTCCAGACTCTGCTAGTCCTCAGATTCCTCTTCTATGAAATAAAAACATGTTTTTAATTTATTAAATTTTTCTGAAGATTAAAATAAGTTAATATGGGTAGAGCACTGTATTAATCAGGATTCTCCACGGAGACAGAAGCAATAGGAAATATGAGAGAGGATTTATTAGGAGAATTGGCTCACACAATTTTGAAGGCTGAGAAGTCCCAGGGCAGGCTGTCTGCAACCTGGAGACGTTGGGGTGTTGTGACTCAGTCTAAGAACCAAGGCCTCAGAACCAGAGAAGCTCATGGTGTAACTCTCAGTGTGAGACCACTCTCAGTGTGTGCCACTGATGTAAGTTCTGGAGTCCCAAGACTGGGAGCCTGAATTTGTTGCCCAAGGAAATATGTATCACAGCTCCCGCTGTTAGATAGACACATTCACCTTTTCTGTGTTTTTGTTCTCTCCAGGGCCCTAGCCGATTCCATGATCCCCACCTAGTCCACTCAAACTCACATGTTAATCTCCTCTGGAAACACCTCACAGACATACCTACAAACGACGCATTACCAGGGTTCTAGGAATTCCTTAACCCAGCCAAGTTGACACCTAAAATTAACTTTCACAAGCACTTAGAGGAAATCCTGGCATGACATAAGCTCTCATTACTTCTTAGCTCCCATGTTAGCACTAACCTCTGTAGAGAAATGATCTCTGTGCCTGGCACAAGGGAGTGAATGTGACTCCTCACCTTCACTGAATGCTTACCATGTGCCAGGTGCTGGACGAGTGCCTCACACATATTCTCATGTAAGCGCTTCCCCACCCTGAGCTGTGTTCTATTATCCTTTCTCTGATGCTGTTTTAGAGATAAAGAAACCAAGGCATAGAGGAGTTAATTCATTTGCCCAAGTCACATGCCTAGGAGGTGGTGTCACTGGTGTTTGAACCCGGAAATCTGACTCCAGCACCTGCTGAGTTCCTCTGCTGTTGACTGCACTATTTGGCGGTGGTGGTGGTTGCTGCTGCTGTTAAAGTTTAGAGGAAGTCTTCTGGGCTCCTAAAAATTCTAAATACCAATTCTGCTTAACTTGCTGGTAGAGGTGATAGAGTGGTTTGTTGAGAGGTGAAATTTCTCAGCACAGTCACCCTGGTAATGCAAAGAGATCCATCCTGAGCCAAGCCCACTGGCAGCTTCTTTGCAGGGCACGCAGATTCTCAATCTGTCCCCACCACTGTCAGAACTGATTAAGCCAAACACATTTTCAGTAACATTCAAAGACTTCTGTAATTGACTGTATGACAAGAGTTATAAACAAGCAACTGAGTTAGCAAATCTACCAAACCCTCTTAAACAAAGAGTCTTAGAAGAAAACGAGCTAATTATGCATATGCTATCCAGACAAGGGACAGGGTTGAACCAAGATGCCTCTTCATTACTGGGAGAAGCAGCACTTCCCTTGAAAAATCACAGAGCTGAGAATGTGGCCAGGATCAGAGATATCCTGTAGTCAACCCCTTCTGCTCCCATTTACCAATATAAGGAGATGAACCACTAAAAGACATGCTTCCTATATTAGTCTTTTTCCACACTGCCATAAAGAAATACCCAAGACTGAGTAATTTATAAAGGAAAGAAGTTTAATTAATTCACAGTTCCACATGGCTGGGGAGGCCTCAAGAAACTTACAATCATGGCAGAAGGCAGAGGGGAAGCAGGCACCTTCCTCACATGGCAGCAGGAGAGAGAAGAGTGAAGGAGGAACTTCCAAACACTTATAAAAGCATCAGATCTCATGAGAACTCACTATCATGAGAACAGCATAGGGAAACTGCCCCCATGATCCAATCACATCCCTCCCTCAGCATGTGAGGATTATAAATCCAGATGAGATGTGGGTGGGGACACAGAGTCAAACCATATCACTTCCTGAAAATAAAATAACAGTTTTGTTTCTTTGTAGTTTCTGAACCAAGCACAGTGGTGAGCACTTTTACATGCGCAAGACATGCAAAATGAACAGAAGAACACAGTCATGTCCTACGGACTAAATGTTTGTGCCCCACCTCAAAATTCGTATGTTAAAACCCTAACCCCCAAGGTGTTGGTATGAAGAGGTGGGGCCTTTGGGAGGTGATTCGGTCATGAGGGTGGGCCCTCATGAATGGGATTCACATCCTCATAAAAGAAGTTCCAGGGAGTTTGGTTACCCCCTCCACTATGGGAGGACACAGCAAGAAGGTACCATCTATGAGGAAGCAAGTCCTTACCAGACACCAAATCTGCATTCATCTTGGATTTCCCAGTCTCTAGGACTGTGAAAAATAAATGTCTTTGTTTAAGCCACTCAGTTTCTGGGTTTTTTTTTTTTTTTTTTATTACAGCAGCCATATGAACTGAGACATAATGACAGCTGTCCTTTAAAGAACAGCAGTGACAGGTTGGTCATAGGTTAGGGCTTTTCTCATTATTTCTTATTTCTACTTCTCACAAAATCCTGCAAGGCTGTTGATTGGTTTTTCAGATAGAACCAACAAGGTTCAGAGGATTATCTCAGTGGAACCAGAAGATGGGCCAGTGAGAGCCAGAGTGCCTTGTGTGAAGCCTCTGTGTTCTCTTCCCACTCTTCAGTTGCTCTCTCTGGCACCCAACCTGGAGTTGCCATGACCCAGGGGATCTCCCACTACATGAGGAGGTGGTACTCACAGATGAATCTCCAGGGTCTGGGCATGGGTAAGGCTGCTGGATATATGGCAAAAGGGAGGAGAAAAACTATACAGGGCACAGAAGAGTGTATGCTCCTCCTAAAGACGTATGTACTCAGCAGTTTATGATTAGTTTTGACCCTAATCAGGCCAAACAAGTCTGCAGTCCAGATCCTCATTGGATGTGGTTCACAAGCCATCAGAGAGCCTCACATTATTTTACTCTGCCAACTCACCATAATGGCATGTGGATATATGCAATGATTTGCTTAAAACTCTTCCGCTAGTTAGCTGCATTTTCCCTAGTTGGTCTTATCAGCATTTCAAAGTTATACCGAAGACAAAAATACTTCTACTTCACTTACGTACTAGGAGGTCTGTGATTCCCACCTTTCAAATTTCTTTTCTCAGTCCCTAGAGACCATCCTTTAAGATAAAAAAAATAAAAGGCTTCAATTTTTCTTTCTTGACGGGGTGAGATCTGTCCTCAACTTATTTTCAAAAGGTTAATCACATGGAAAGTGTGATGCCATTATGTTTTAGCCTGCCAGTGATATATCATATAATGGAAAGGGAACAGGACAATTTATGTACAACTACAGTTTCTGAGAATCCAGGTGTTAAAAAGATAACCAGCTGACCTAGCTATTCCATGAGGTTGCTGCATGGAACTTTTAAAAATGTGTCATAGAATTCTAGAGATAGGAAGGTCATTAGCAGCACTCCAATCCAATCATCATATGTTTACAAGTGAGGAAAACTTAAGGCTTTGCCTCTGAGACATGAATATGTACATAAATCTCTAGACTACCATATTCCTGTGTGACTTGGGGCAAGGTACCCTGTCATGCCTCAGTCTTCCTAATTGTCTGATGGAGGTAAAAACCACCACTCCCAGGGGGATTTAATGAGTATTAAGGACTCAATTTCTGTTTTACTGACCTCTGTGTGGCTACTACTTAGCTCAGTGTCTGACATACAGTGGAGGTTAATTAATACACGTGGGGTGAGGAATGAATGTAAAAGCCTGGCCAACACATAGTATGTGCTCAAAAGTATTAGTTTCCCCTCCTGTAAATGACACATCTAAGGTCACAAAATGAGCCACTGAATTGAGGCTGGAACCCAAAGCTGATTCCCAAGCCACTGCTCCTTGCCCATGAGTTAGAAATGAAGGAGAGCAGCCTCGGGAACAGCCAGGGGCTGCACAGATGGAAGAGATTATATGTTCCTTTGCCTGGGGTAAAACTGAGTTATGCCTTTTTGTTATTCTGAGATGAGAGAAATGCCCAAGTCAAATGTTTCTTTACCCCAACTCCATCCATCACAGAAGGAAACCACCCTGGGGCAGAGGTGACCATCTTGTTGGACTAATTTGCTCCAGGTGCCACCGCCATTGGTGACTGCATTCCTGTTCATAGTCAAAACCCAGTGCATTCACCAGAATGGGCTTCTCAAAGGGAAGGATGAAAATGGGTTCTTGTTGAGAAGTCCTGGAGCGCATGTCTACCCTTTCATAATTCACTTTTCAATCTTTCAGTGACAAACAGTGCTGTACATTTTATGTTCACACTCGGTACCTGTCGAGCCCTATCCTTGGCTGGACTTTCAAGGCCTCACATGCTCTGACTCTAGGCAAGCGTACTGAACTGCCTGCCACGTTTCCCCTCCCATCCACCAGGCTGAGCTGCTGCCGTGCTCGGGCCCAGCAAGTGGTGATTCCTCCGGTTCCTTCCGCTTCTCCTTCCTTGGTGCTCACACAAGACAGGGTTTGCTCCTAGGTCCTGGCATGTACCTCAATCTATACTGAAGCCGAATTGTCCGGGTTTGCACCGGAGCATCCCCCTACCCTCTCCCCTAAGCACAGCAGTGGTAACTTGCTGTGGCCTGCACAGTGCCCTTGTCCCGGGAGAAGCTTCATGGAGCTTTATGCTAAATGCTCACCCATCCCCACAGTCATCACACTCTAATTTTTTTGAGATCCCAAGCCTTAGCTTATCAATAAACATTTTTCTTTAGACTCCCCCCTTCACTTTTCCACTTTACCTGATTAATTTGTCTTCCGGCAGAACCATGAAAACAATTATGGCGGTAGAGCTTTCTGACCCTGTTCCTAGACACAAGCACTCACCCTGGGAGTGGTCCTAAGTTTCACCCTCCTATCCAGTTGGTCTGAAATTTCTGGGGAAACCAAAATGTAAAAGCGTGTATGGTTACATTACCCTCTGTAGATAGGCTGGCTAAATAATAAACATGTCAACATGTCATCTAAACAGTAACATTTTTGTGAGTGAAACGAGGCATTATTAATATCAGTAGGACAACAGGCATAAACTGTTTCTTTCCTAGGAAACCAGAATCCAGAGTCAGGTGACCTCCAATCTAGGGCAAATCTGAGGCATGGTTTTCAGAAACCTGTGAGTACGAACCACTGAAGAGACTTATGGGAAACAAGAATCTAAGTGCATAAGCTTGATCCAAAGGTTGCCAGTAATTGTTGGGATGAGAGGTATGGACCCCTTAGATCATCCTCTGAATCCCAGCCTTTTTCCTGACCTTCTGTGCTCACGCTCCAGGAAGAAGGGGCACAGAAGCAGGATACCTGAATGATAAAAATCTTTGTAAGCTATCAAGAGTATGTGTCTGATGCAATTTACCCATGTTGCAAACATCCACATGTACCCTCTGAACCTAAAAAAAAAAAGTTGTTAAAAAATAAGGTGGGAGAAGGGGTGACACAGCATTTACACCACAGCGGTATGAAATGGCTTATTTCATGTTCAGGTAATAAGGGAGGCACAAGTGGACATCACATCACACTGTGGCCCCCATCTTAAGCAGATGGATGGCACTTGGAGCACAGAACAAGCCCATCAATATGGGCAAGGACTCAGATTCGCCTCAATTTCAGCATTAGAGAACATGGTGGGTATGAGGAACCCCACTGCTCCATGTGCTATAGGCAGGGCCGGCCTCATACGAAGCCCACAAGGGGATGCCTGAATACTGAGCTAGAGACCCTCAGAGGATTTCAGGTGTGTGTGTGTGTGTGTGTGTGTGTGCGCACATGTGTTTATTTGAATATTTGTTTATTTTTACTTTTGCGATGATGCAGTTGGTGGCTATGGCAGAGAAATACTGCTCTGTTATGTACCCAATTTGTACTCTCAGGTTGGTGAGTCCTGAGAAGGCACTGGCTATCATAAGGAAAGCAAAGGCAGCCGAGGGCTGTTTTGTTTGAGAAACCACTGGGAGCCAAGGATTCATTCCCCAGTTTGCTGTGGCACATGTGTACAGTTTTCATAAACTTATCATTTTAAAATAATTTTAGACATAGGAAACTATCAAGACTCATATTAAGCATCTGTTTTTACACTGCTATAAAGACCTGCCTGAGACTAGGTAATTTATAAAGGAAAGAAGTTTAATTGACTCGCAGTTCAGCATGGCTGGGGAAGCCTCAGAAAACTTACAATCATGGAGGAAGGGAAAGGGGAAGCAAGGCACCTTCTTCACAAGGCAGCAGGAAGCAGAATGAATGCAGCAGGAACTACCAAACACTTATAAAACCATCGGATCTCATGAGAACACGGTCACTCTCATGAGAACAGCATGAGGGAACCGCTCCCATGATCCAAGTACCTCCAGCTGGTGTTTCCCTTGACCCCTTGACATGAGGGAATTATAGGGATTACAATTCAAGATGAGATTTTGGGTGGGGACAGAGCCAAACCGTATCACCTGTATAATCTTCATCAAGAGTCATTGAGTCCATACTGATATAAATAAGCAAACAAAAAATAAATTTTAGAGGTGGGGGGACTCAGCTTTAGAACAGAATGCCAATCAATCACAAATGTGGAAGAAATGGTTATTAAGAGACTCACTATGTGGTAACCATCACAGCAAGCACATGATGCAGGAAAGAATCGTGGGTGGATGCTAGTAGTGAAAGTTTGATGAGAACCAGGATGTTCACATGTCTCAAAGTATCTTGCTACAGAGTAGTAATATTTTACAAAGAAAAAAGCAGTAACTTTGCAGTGAGAAACCCGGCAGAGACCACCCAAACCATGTGATCAAAGTCAACATCATCAGGACTGCAGGGATAAGCACTTTATGCTCCTGATTGATTGATTTATATCAATATGAACTCATGGATTCTCATTTTGTTCCGTTGGTTCTATAAGCCATCACTGCCATTCTTTGTTAATTTTTTGATGCTCAAACTCTTTCTGATTCGGCCAGTGGCACTCCCTCCAAGCTGACCCCTGTACTTCATGATGTGTGTCCCTGTTCTCTGAGCAAGTCCTTACTTCCTGACACAAGAGGTTTTGAAAAAAAATGTGGGTACATCATTTCTTTTGTTCTTACACAGTATGGAAATAGAGAGAATTTCAGCCTAACTAGGTTTATTTTAGACTATGTCCATGAGAAAGGATTTTCAATCCTAGAAAGTTGTGTGCATGGAACCTTAGAGTATATCTAATCTAACCTATCGTTTTCATATTAGGAGCCTAGGGCTCAGAAGCAGAAGCCACATGTCTAAGGATTAACATCCTAAAAGGAAGCCATTTCATTAAATGCCTTCAAAATGGGCCAGAAGAACTGTGATTCAGGAAAACTCCAGGGTACATGAAGACAGTGTTAGGTCCAAGCATGTAACCCAATGGAGTCTGCAGTTTTTGACTCCTGTGTCTGAATTTGATAGCCCAATAAACCATTTTTATTACAACATGCATAACAGATTTGCCAGCCATCCCCACATTTACAGATGGCCATTAATTTTTTTACCTAACGTAATGCATTCCACTCACAAAAAAAATCCTTACTCCTCATAAATTGTGAGTGTAGAGAGGAGGCATTACAGTTATACACTGAGAAATAAATGCTTCTCATCATTCCCTCATTTATTATGTCTTGCAGGATTTGAGTAGGTCTTAAAGAATATCTTTGAAAAAGCTATTAGTTCCATTACAGAGCTTTAAAATCTGTGATGTGCTTTATTTATGCAATTCCAAAGGGGTGCTAGAAGAAAGTGACCCATGCATTGGAATTTCAAGGGAGAGCAATATCCAATCCCTGATGCCACTGATGTTTTGTCATTGCGCAAGGAGTCCTCTGATTGTCAAAGGAAAAAGATATTAAGAATCTTCTCTGTATCCAGAATTTTCATACGCTAAATTACTGTATTTTAGGGAATGTTTAAAAATCTTCAAATGAGAAGAGCTTTTGTGTAGTAGAAAACAATGAATACATAGAAGAGTGCTTTCCAAACTGATTCTGATATGAATAGATATTACTCAGAAAAAAATACATTTATCAGTCAAGTAATTTATGTGGCCTTTCATCTTTTCTTTTTTCTTTTTTCTTTTTTTTTTTTTTTTACTAGAGCCTGTTATAAAGCTAGTGTTCTTCTATAGAAACACTTTTAGGAAACATCAACTTAGAGATATGATATCTGAGTGAGAGAGATCTGTGTGCTCTATTTTGTAGGGGGATTGGGGAGCAAAATAAGATGGGAAAAGAGCTTCTAGTATGACCTAGCAGGATTTAGTGACTGCTACACATCACTGGAAGAAATTAGCAGGATATTAGAGTTTCTGTTCATCCATTCGACCAGTCTTTCTACAAATACATATTTATCAAAACCCTACTAAGATATAAGAAAAGCAAGAAAAACAAGAGAAACACTGTAACTGGTTTGGAGGAAAAGAAAAATTCAACAAGCAGTAAATGTCAAAGATGTCATTGCTATTATGGGGAAGAAAGTAGAGAGCAGACCAAGTCCCTAGGAAGGAAGGAGGCCACAGGGAGTTTCCCGGAGCAGGAATCTTGGATGTGGAGATTCATTAGCTAAAGGGCCTCGCTAAAATCCCCTGCATGTTTTAAGAAGAAAGAATGTTTTGAAGGCGATGAGCTCACGATTTCTTGCAAAGGGTGGAATTCAGCTGCTGGTCATCTGCAGCTAGTGCATCAGTGTGTTCTTTCTACTGTATCCCCACAGACAGCCAAGGTACTATCTTCTTCCATTCTGTCAAAACCATCCATGAAGCATCTTTAATGTATAAGAAGAGAGAAAGCAGAAGGAAAAGGAGAAGGGATAGAGCAAACTGGACATGGCTCCCTCCTTCAAAGATACTTTTGTTCTAATTAGAGAAGTTTATGCATGTGATTTCAGAGAAGCATAAGAATGGCAGTGGAAGGCCGGGCATGGTGGCTCACGCCTGTAATCCCAGCACTTTGGGAGGCCGAGACGGGCAGATCACGAGGTCAGGATATCAAGACCATCCTGGCTAACATGGTGAAATCCCGTCTCTACCAAAAATACAAAAAATTAGCCTGGCAAGGTGGCGTACACCTGTAGTCCAAGCTACTTGGGAGGCTGAGGCAGGAGAATCGCTTGAACTCGGGAGGCAGAAGTTGCAGTGAGCTGAGATCGCACCACTGCACTCGAGCCTGGGTGATAGAGCAAGACTCCATCTCAAAAAAAAAAAAAAAGAACAGCAGTGGAAAGAAGAAAGCAATGTGGTCCATCTAGATACTAGATACTAGAGAAGGAATATTTGGCTGAGAAATCACCGAGGCTGATATAAATCTGGCAGCTTCTGAATCAGACCTCAGGGCCTTGACACTTAAAGGGTAGTTTATTAAGGAGTATTGACTCACACGATCATAAGGTGAGGTCCCACAATAGACCATCTGCAAGCTGAAGAGCAAGGAAGCCAGTCGAGTCCCAAAGCTAAGGAATTTGGAGCGGATGTTCAGTGGCCGGAAGCATCCAACACTGGAGAAAGATGGAGGCTCGGAGGCTAAATCAGTCTAGTCCTTCCATGTTCTTCTGCCTGTTTTTATTCTGGCTGTGCTGGCAGCTGATTAGATAGTGCCCACCCAGACTGAGGGTGGGTCTGCTTTTTCCAGTCCACTGACTCAAATGTTAATCTCCTTTGGCAACACCCTCACAGACACACCAAGGAACGATACTTTGCATCCTTCAGTCCATTCAAGTTGACTCTCAGTATTAACCGTCACTGCCTGTCACAATGAGACACAGGTAGGTGGAGGTGGCTAGGCACAAGTGGGTGGAAGAGTGGAGGGAGATGCAGCATTGGGAGGGTTGATGGTGCTGTGCCAGGAAAGTCCACAGAAGAATGCACCACTGCTTGACGGGCACCAGGGCTACTGGGACGTTACTAACAGGCCCAGGTTGAAGGCTTAGCCTCAACTCTTTCCTTAATAATGCCCAAAAACGTGGCTGGGGAAGGGCACCCCACTGGGTAAAGAACTGAAATAACATTACAGCAGGCAACTGGAATGCCTAATTGTAACCAAAGTGTATTTTAAGACATTTTTCACAGTGAATGCTTTGTCAGGGGTTGCTGAAAAGGGATTATATGAAATAGATGAAGCAGAAAATTACCCAAACTATGAGTCAGTAGAACAGAATAGATTTTAACAGATTTGGCTACATGAGCAATGCTAAGTGATAACAGATATGTTCTAAATATACTAAAAACTAAATTATTTCTATTATAAAATACAGATTTTGTAATATTTCGTCAATTTTTTTAAGTACCAGCAAGTGTCTTGTAGCATGTATGTCAGAAAGTGGTATTAGATGTTGAGGACACAGAGATGACTGAGACAAATCCTTCAATTAAGTAGCTCACAGTTGAATAGGGGCATAAATAAGCTTGAAAAGACCAATTAAAAATGGTGCACTAAAGGGGATAGGAAGCTGCAAGGAGGGAGAGGAGCACACACTCACCTGGAATTGGTCTCCTGCACTTCCAAACCCTTGCACTCTGGGAACTGTCTTTCCAACACCTTATAAAAATACGAATCACATGTGATAAGCAAATCTACAGAGAGTTTACTACAAAGTTGAGTTCTTCCAAACTTTTTCAAAACTTTCACTTATTCCAGGCACAATAGACACTAACTGTGTATGTGTTTCAATTTGAGATGCACTTTTCTTTCCCAATTCTCATGGAATCGTGGATGGGTGGAAAACTAGAGATAATTTGGAAGTTAGGTTCAGACAAAACCAGGGTCAAATTCCACTGTAGAAGCTCTAATGAACCACATAGTTGTGGACAAATTAAGTTTCTTCCCCCGAGCCTCAATCCCTTCACCTGCAAAAGAAGGGTGACACAGTTGGTTCTTGTAGGATTGAGGTGGGGATTAGAAAAAGGGTTTGTAAAGTGTCTAGAGCTGAGCCTAGCTCATAAAACGTGCTCAATTCATTGTAGCTATTGTCACTATGATAACGATTATTTTCTCCCGAGTAAACAATTCCTTAGGACATCTCTAATTGCCTCAAAACATGCTATGTAATTACCAAGGCAAAATATACTTTTACATTTTAAAATAAATAAATAATAAGATATTTATAATAAAATATAAGTATTAAAATGGTCTAAAATAAATAGTCTACACAGCACATGGTGTAACAAAAAGCAAGATCTAAACACAGGCACACAAACGCCCCCACAGATACACACACAGAGGCAGCCACTGCCAAGTGTCTGGGTCTTCCTGACCTAGATTCTCACCCAGGTGATAGAGGAGAGAACTCCTGGGCTGGCATCAAAGGATGCTGTACAGTCAGGAACTCACATGTGCACAAGGGAACACTAGAGTCCCGCGATGATCTGGCTGTGAGAGCTTACTTGAGGGAGACCACTGCAGTGTGTCATTGCTCACTAGCACCTCAGCAGATACTGATATTCTGAAAAAGAGGCGCCTTAGCATCTAGTGTCTGGCATACTCTCAGTTAACTTCTAAAGTGACAACTGGGCAAGCGGTATGACTTGGAGAAACTGGATATTTCCTCCCTTTTCTAAGAAGAGTCTCAACGGTATCTGCAAGCAGCTTTGAAGAAAGAGCACATAGAAATACAAAGTCCGGAATTCTGTTTAACAAGGATAATAAAATAATAATGATAAAACCTAGATATAAAAGGTATTTATTCATACTATTCTAGGAAAAAGAAAATATGTCATAAACTTGGAGATAAAATTTGAATTATGTTGCAACACGTGGAGAGGGTGAGAGCTTACATACACTGAGGATTCCTAAAGCCAGGCATGTAGAACAGTCAGCAATCTGACACAGATACCACAGCCCAATTGAGTGAATAAAGACAATTAGGACTCAGGGAAGAAGTTCCCACAAGTCACTCACATGGTTAGCAGCTGAGTCAAAGTTTTAACCTAGGACACCTCAACTGCAGGGTTCATGTTCTTCCCATTGCTTAGATCACTTAAGCTGTAGCATGATGTTCTCTTTACCTGTCTCTGAATTAGGTTGGGCTTATCTATTTTAACCCCAGTCCCTGACATATATTAGGTATTCAATACATTTTTGTTAAAGGATTG